>NC_000009.12:33343333-33494848 GCF_000001405.40 Homo sapiens
TCATTGCATGTAATCACAAAAATTTTTTTAAATAACTTTTCAAAAAAGTAGAATAGCGGATACTTGGTTTAATAGAAGGTAGCTGGATTCTTGTATCTACTTCTGCATCCAGTCTGTCGTGATATAGTTGAGGCATATGAAAAAAATCCAGCCTTACACAGATAGCCTTACACAGGAGAAGGGAAGAGTATTTTAAAGATGTTTTCAAATAATTATTGATATTCTTTGAAATTACACCAAAATTCAACCTCATTTTAGAAAGGACTTGACTCGGTGTTTTTATTCTCTGTCACAAAAATTTATTGGACTTTCTTGTACTTTGAATGGATCTTTTTACCCGTGCATGATTTTATAATAGCCCACATTGATCATTTGGAAAATAATTCTTCACTGAGTTATGTGATCTTTGAAATGTTGATAAATTTCCTATTATAATATTAAAAACTCAGTCATTAATATAATCTCCAGTCTAGAAATATGTTGGGAAAAGTATTGGGAAGTTGTCAGGGTCATAGTAATAAATGAAACTTCATATCTGTTCATGCCTTTTTCACCAGCTTAGCTTTAATAAAATAAAAGTTTAATAAAATAAAAACCTCTTTTGAAAAAAGTAGCACCCCCATAAATTCTCCTCTAAAAATACAAGCAAAAATGTGTGTGTTTGTGTGTGTTAGTATGTACTTGCACATCCCAAACTCAGAAAGGATTCTTTTGTTTTACCTGCTGCTCCACCAGGTTTTGATGAATTAACCTGCCATTGTGGTGCATCAGTGATTTACCCTCCAGTTCCCTGTGGTACTAGGCCCCCTGAATGTACCCAAACCTGCGCTAGAGTCCATGAGTGTGACCATCCAGGTGAGTACCAACTTGTCTTCACACTTCAGCCTGCTCACACCATGTCATTTAGGATCCTGCTGTGTTACTGTCTTCACTGCTCTAGAGTCATGCTGTGATGGCTGCCCCTTGCTCCCGGCTCAGGGGCTGGTTCTCTGAAGGTGGGTCTGTGATCTGGGCCACAGCTTGGAATCACAGTGCCCTCCATTGGTTTACTCTAGGGATGTCAAACACACCTAAAAACGTTGGAAGACTCCCCAGCTGATCTTATCTCTCAAGAACTTTTCTTTCTTTGTGGTCTCCACTTTGGTGCATGTTTTGAAATTTAGCATCTTTTTACAAAATTAAAAGTGACTTTTTTGTTGTTATAGAAGCAATATATATTTATCGTATTAAAATTAAGAAAATAGAGGCCAGGGCCAGGCGCAGTGGCTCATGCCTGTAATCCCAGCACTTTGGGAGAGCAAGGAGGGGCAGATCATGAGGTCAAAAGATTGAGACCATCCTGCCCAACATGGTGAAACCCCGTCTCTACTAAAAATACAAAAATTAGCTGGGCATGGTGGTGCACGCCTGTAGTCCCAGCTACTCGGGAGGCTGAGGCAGGAGAATCACTTGAACCCGGGAGGCAGAGGTTGCAGTAAGCTGAGATCGCACCACTGCACTCCAGCCTGGCGACAGACCAAGACTCTGTCTCAAAAAAGAAAATAGAGGCCAGGCACAGTGGCTCATGCCTGTAATCCTAGCACTTTGGGAGGCTGAGATGGGCGGGTCACTTGAGGTCAGGAGTTCGAGACCACTCTGGCCAACATGGTGAAACCATGTCTCTACTAAAAATACAAAAGTTAGCCAGGCATTGTGGCGGGCACCTGTAATCTCAGCTACTCAGGAGGCTGAGGCAGGAGAATTGTTTGAATCCGGGAGGCAGAGGTTGCAGTGAGCCAAGATTGTGCCACTGCACTTCAGCCTGGGCAACAGAGTGAGACTCCATCTCAAAAAAAGAAAAGAAAAAGAAAAAGAAAAAAAAGGCCGGGTGCAGTGACTCACACCTGTAATCCCAGCACTTTGGGAAGCTGAGGCAGGTGGATCACCTGAGGTCAGGAGGTTGAGACCAGTCTGGCCAACATGGTAAAACCCTGTCTCTACTAAAAATACAAAACTTAGCCTGGCGTGGTGGTGGACGCCTGTAATCCCAGCTACTTGGGAGGCTGAGGCAAGAGAATCACTTGAACCCGGGAGGCAGAGGTTGCAGTGAGCCGAGACTGTGCCATTGCACTCCAGCCTGGGTGACAGAGTGAGACTCTGTCTCAAAAAAAAAAGAGAGATAAAGTCAAAAGTTTGAAATTAAATAATCTATTATATGTCACCTCCAAAGAATTATACCTTATATGTATTTCTCAGGGTCTTTTGCCATGTGCAAATATATATGTTTGCATTTTTTCCCCAATGTAAAAGTGGGATCCTACTGAACTTAATGCTTTTAACTAGCTTTTTTTCCCACTCTTATTATTATATTTTTGATCTGTCCCCTTGTAAGTATTTTTTTACAATATAAACTTTTAATTTCAATTGAGTGTCCTGTTACATGGATGGGCCATAACTTATTCAGTCAGTCTTGTGTTGCTGGACATTTTAGTGTTTTCAGTTTTCCTCTGATAAACTGCTCAGATACCAGGCCAACAACCATTTGACATCACTCAATTTCCGTATCTGTCAAGTCTAGTTGCTGGCTTTTCTCTAGCACCATACCGGGCCCATCATTTCATTTTACCAAATACCAGAGGCAAACCTGAAGTAATTCAGGGGACCAGATTTGATACCCACAGTTAGTCTGGCAGTATGATTCAGACTTAAAACTAGAAAACCAACTCTTGATTTTTTAAGTTAATGGAGTAAAACAGAACTTAACAAATTCTTCATTAAGTGGAATGTTCCCTCCTTCCTTGGGGATCTTAGGATAGCCCTCCCAGCGTAGTTTGCAAGCCCCTCCTGTGGCATTCATACCAGCATGAAGTACATGCCCAGGCCAGTCCCCACCGATTGCCTCCTTTACACTTAACCTGCAGATGAATTCCAAATGCTGCTGGGCAAGGTCCATAGTAAGAACTTCACCATTTGTGAATTGTGTTGTTTTAGCCTATTTTGTTCCCCATTCATTTCCATTTTCTTAAGTGTTTATTGTATTTCTAACATGGTGTCAGACATAGAGGGAACTTCAGAGGAAGAGAAAAATACCCTGTGACCTTGAGGTTCTTAACATTCTCCGAGAGGAGGAGGACAGTAGTTCAATACACATGATACAACCACCCTTCACATGAAGATGGGCTAAATAATGTGGCAGCAACCCATCTGCATAGGAACTGAGACACCAGGAAGTGTGAGGGAGCCCAGACGAGAGTGTGGTAGCCAAGGAAAGGTTCATTGTAGGAGGTGAGTTTTGATGAACCTCCCCTTATAGGCAGTAATGAAATTGGAAGGAGTCAGCAGAAGCATTTTAGATGGAATTAATAGCAAAGATATCTGAGCAGAAGTGAGCAGTTGCGGTTAAAGTAGGGCCAAAAGAATGACGTAGTAGAATTGGATGGACCATATGGCTGTGCTGCAAGAGATGAGATGGGAAAGCTGCCTCATCTGCTTCTGTTTTGGCATGTCTCTTCCTCCTTGGTTGGGTTTCTTTTTCTCACTCATGCTTGTCCTTCAACACTTTAACATAAAGCAAGGTACTTTTTACTTTCCTGTGACCGTTTTTCAAAAGTACTCCCAGTTTCTGAATTTAAAAGTTTCATGCCGTATGCCACTTATATGATGTATAATGGTTTACATGGCTTTATTTAGAAAGTATTCCTAAAGTTACCTTTCTCTTTCTGCAGTATATCATTCTTGTCATAGTGAGGAGAAGTGTCCCCCTTGCACTTTCCTAACTCAGAAGTGGTGCATGGGCAAGCATGAGGTAAGTTTTCTCTCTCAAGTGCTCATTGTTCCAGGCAGAGGTTCATGATTTTATTACTTAAGAATTGTTAGTCTCATCGTCTGTCAAAGTAAATACACTCAGAAGTAGAAGCTTTCCATTGCTTAAAAATTTTTTCTTAAGATATAATTTGCATACAACAGAATTTACCCTTTTTATTGTACAGATCCATGAGTTTTAGCAAAAGCATACATACCATCAAACCACTACCACAATCAAGATATAGAACAGTTCAGTCACCCCCAAATATCCTTCATGCCCCTGTATACTCAATGTCCCCTACTTCCAACTTCTGAAAACCAATGTTGTCTGTTCCAATCATTTTACTTTAAAATACCAAATTTTTTTTTAATAACCTCCTTATTCCTGCAAGAATGGCAATAATCAAAAAATAATAGATGTTGGCGTGGATGTGGTGAAAAGGGAACACTTTTACACTGCTGGTGGGAATGTAAACTAGTACAACCACTGTGGAAAACTGTGGAGATTCCTTAAAGAACTAAAAGTAGATTTACCGTTTGATCCAGCAGTCCCACTACTGGGCGTCTACCCAGAAGAAAAGAAGTCATTATATGAAAAAGATACCTGCACACGCATGTTTATAGCAGCACAATTCACAATTGCAAAAATGTGGAACCAGCCCAACTGCCCATCAGTCAACAAGTGGATAAAGAAATTGTGGTGTATCTATACGTACCATGGAATACTACTCAGCCAGGAACGAAATAATGGCATTCACAGCAACCTGGATGGATTTGGAGACCATTATTCTAAGTGAAGTAACTCAGGAATGGAAAACCAAACATCGTATGTTCTCAATTATAAGAGGGAGCTAAGCTATGAGGACGCAAAGGCATGAGAATGATACAATGGACTTTGGGGACTCTGGGGAAAGGACGGGAGGCGGGTGAGGGATAAAAAACTACACACTGGGTCCGAGCACGGTGGCTCATGCCTATAATCCCAGCACTTTGGGAGGCCAAGGCAGGTAGATTATGAGGTCGGGAGTTCGAAACCAGCCTGGCCAACAAGGTGAGACCCCCCCCATCTCTACTAAAATAATTAGCCGGGCCTGGTGGCGCATCCCTGTAATCCCAGCTACTTTACTTGGGAGGCTGAGGCAGGAGAATTGCTTGAACTCGGGAGGCGGATGTTGCAGTGAGCCAATATCGCACCACTGCACTCCAGCCTGGGCAACAGAGCAAGACTCCGTCTCGAAAAAAAAAATAAATTTTAAAAACTACACATTGGGTACAATGTACACTCCTCGGGTGATGGGTGCACCAAAATCTCAAAAATCACTACTAAGGAACTTATCCATGTAACCAAACACCACCTGTTCCCCAAGAACTATTGAAATAAGAAAAAAGAAAAAAAAAAAATCACTGATTGCAGGTCACCCTAACAGATATAATAATGAAAAAGTCTGAGATGTTGCGAGAATTACCAAAATGTGATGCAGACACGAAATGAGCATGTGCTGTTGGAAAAGTGGAACAGATAGACTTGCTGGAGACAGGGTTGCCACAAAGTTTCAATTTGTAAAAAATGTGATATCTATGAAATGCAATAAAGTGAAGTCCAATAAGAAATGCATATTTATTGTACAGTTGAGAAGATTTAATTCTGCTACTGAGAAAGAAATACTCTACCATTCTGGCATATAAACCACCAGACGTGGTACACATTTTTCCTTGCTGTGGTTAAGATGATACTGTTTGCTACATTCCAACTGTCCTATACCAAAAAAAAAAAGATATTGTTTTGTAACCTGCTTTTTTTGCATCATGACGTATTGGCCAACATTTCATGAAACTCTTGACATCTATAACAACATGCTATATTCTTTTATCTTCATGGACGTATATTCCTCCACTGATTTCCTGTGGGTGGTTCTCAAGTCCTTGGTATTTATTCTTTTCTATATGTCTCACCTTTTCCAGTTTATCCATTCTAAAACATCAATGTGTTATCTTCGTACTGATGGCTTATTAAGACTTCATTCAACAGATATCGAGTATGAGTACCTACTATGTGCTAGGTAACAGGCTAGGTTTGGGTGCTTTGGAAGTGAACGAGACTAACCCTTGCCCTTATGAAGCCTTCACTTTGGGTTAGGAGGCAGGCATGAAAACAGACAATAGCAGTAATGCGGGAAATACAGAGGGCTAAGGAGGATGGAAGGGCTCTCCAGGTGTTCTGGAAAAATTAACATCCTAAAGGATAGTGAGAAGAAAGTAATGTGGAGAGGATGACAGGGCAGAGCATGGGCAAAAATTATCCCCTTTGCCCTGGTAGTAGAATGGGTAAGTGTTTAATGATTGAGAACTACATTCTACTAAAATATGGATTCCAGTGCGATGGGAAATATGTATGTCCTAGATGTTGGAAGTCTCTTCAGGGGGAGAAGTTGTGTGTCACTGCAGTAGAAGTATATCCCTCATTTCGAGGGTTCAAGACTAGCCTTTGGTCCTACGAGAGTAAAATTTCAGCAGCTTTTTCCTATGGTGAGGAAGCGTGGAAACAGGCCATTTTTCAAGAAAAAAAAAAAGAATTGGGGGTTCTATCCCCTGTTGTCTCTTAATTTTTTAAAGGACAGGACTGCGTGAAGCTGTGGAGACCATGAGTTGGGAGACATGAGGAGAGTTAAGTATTTAATTACAGAAAACAGCCTCCTAGCCTGGGCAACCTAGTGGGATCCTGTCTCTACAAATAATACAAAAATTAGCTGGGTTTAGTGGCATGCCTGTACTCCCAGCTACTTGGAAGGCTAAGGCAGGAGGATCACTTGAACTCAGGAGTTCAAGGCTGCAGTGAGACACGATTGTGCAACTGCCCTCCAGCCTAGGCAACAGAGCAAGATTCTGCCTCAAAAAAAACAAAACAGGCCAGGCGTGGTTTCTCATGCCTGTAATCCCAACACTTTGATAGGCTGAGGCAAGTGGATCACCTGAGGTCAGCAGTTGGAGACCAGCCTGGCCAACATAGTGAAACCCTGTCTCTACTAAAAATACAAAAATTAGCTGGGCATGGTGGCACACACCTGTAGTCCCAGCTACTTGGGAGGCTGAGGTAGGAGAATCGCTTGAACCCAGGAGGTGGAGGTTGCAGTGAGCTGAGATGGCGCCACCGCACTCCAGCCTGGGCGACAGAGCGAGACTCCATCTCAAAAAAAAAAAAAAAAAAGGCAAAATAAAACGAAAAAATGGCCCTGCCATCAGTCTCAGAACCCTGGGCTAAGGTTGCCCTCCACCCCGCATCTATAAGAATTAGTCTATTGACTCTGCTTTAGCAGTTCAGAAAGGAGGGAAAAGATCATCTGCCCCTGCCAGTTAGTCATAGCATTTTCAAGCACTCCCTAGTTACCTAGTTACATTTGTTTGTTGTCACTTTGGAAAGTTTATGTTCCAGATCACATTTTTGGCTTCTGCTGCAAATCCTTTTGAGTCATAACAGGGATTATTAAATAAAGTTAAGGTTTGTTTTCTTCATCTCAAACTAACCTTTCAGACTTTGAAAATCAAACTGATTTCTTTTCAGATAAATAGAGCTTTTTTAAAAATACAGCTTTTAAGCTGGATGCAGTGGCATGTACCTGTAGTCCCAGCTAATCAGAAGACTAAGGCAAGAGGCTCACTTGAGCCCAGAAGTTCAAGTCCAGCTTAGGCAACATAGTGAGACCCTGTCTCTAAAAATTAAAGTAATAATAATCCTTATTTTAAAAACTGAGCTGAGTGTGGTGGTTCATGCCTGTAATCCCAGCACTTTGGGAGGCCAAGGCAAGTGGATCACTTGAAGTCAGGAGTTCAAGACCAGCCATCTGGCCAACATGGCGAAACCCCAACTAAAAATACAAAAATTAGCTGGTCGTGGTGGTACACACCTGTAACCCCAGCTACTCGGGAGGCTGAGGCTGGAGAATCACTTGAACCCTGGAGGTGGAGGTTGCAGTGAGCCCCGAGATTGGCGCCACTGTACTCCAGCCTGGGCAACAGAGTGAGACTTCGTCTCAAAATAAATAAATAAATACAAACTGTTATTGCCAGATGCAGTGGTTCACACCTGTAATTTCGGCACTTTGGGAGGCCTAGGCGGGTGGATCGCTTCCACTCAAGAGTTCGAGACCAGCCTGGGCAACATGGTGAAACCCCATCTCTTAAAAAAAAATTCAAAAATTAGCTGGGCGTGGTGGCATGCACCTGCAATCCCAGCTACTTGGGAGACTGAGATGGGAGGATCACCTGAGCCCCAGGAAAGTCATAATCACACTGTTGCACTCCAGCCTGGGCAACAGTGAAACCCTATATCCGAAAACAAAACAAAACCAAACCCTGCCATAAGCTTAGAAATGTTTAAAGAGAAAGTTAAAACTCACCCCAAATCCCACATGGAGATGAGAATCTGGCTACTTCTGTCTCTCCTAGTTTCGGAGCAACATCCCCTGTCACCTGGTTGATATCTCTTGCGGATTACCCTGCAGTGCCACGCTACCATGTGGGATGCACAAATGTCAGAGACTCTGTCACAAAGGGGAGTGTCTTGTGGATGAGCCCTGCAAGCAGCCCTGCACCACCCCCAGAGCTGACTGTGGTCACCCGTGTATGGCACCCTGCCATACCAGCTCACCCTGCCCTGTGACTGCTTGTAAAGCTAAGGTGGGTATTTCTGGCCACAGATGCAGCATTGACTGTAGTTCTGAGGCTACTAGTGAATCCAGAACTGTCTACAGTGGCCCCTGGGCATGCATCTTAATTAAGGGTCATTGGTTGCAAATAACCACAAGTTAGAGAAAGGTAGAGTAAGTCATACAAGTTTCTGCCTGCCCAACTTGGTATGGCCTTTTGATTCAGCAGGTACCCACTGCCACCGGACCACAGTCTGTGTCTCCCTTGGGTGAGATTCTCAATAGTCACTGATTGTTTACTCCATTTATTTAATAAATGTATAAATGTCTTTTGTGCAAGACATAGTATGAGGTGCTAGGGATAAATTAGTGAACAAGAGACACATGGTTCCTCACAATCTGATAGGACAGATACTTGATTATTACTTAGATAACTAATTATGGCTGTGGTGTCATGAGGGAGTAGTTTAAGCCTTGTGGAGGGGGCTATGAGAGCAGGTAAATGGGAGGTTAAGCCTGGTCTAAAGGATCAAGTGTGGCCACCTTGAGGATGTGGAGTTGGCTTGGAGTTGGCTAGGCCACAGTTGGGCCTAGGGCAAGTGTCTGTCTCTGATGGTACAAACTTCATCCTAGGCCTGCCCCTTCAGCCAGGATTAAGAACAGAGGTGGTTTCCAAAAGGGGGCATTGTGGACGGGGCAATTCTTTCCTAGCATGTCAACAACTGTGTCAGTTTGCATGTGTGGTTAGCTTCTTCCAGCTTGGAGAGTGGCCACCCACTGACTCTCTAGTCTCTGCTATGGTTTAAGAGAGGATTTAAGAGTGAAAAGTGCTTTATTCACATAGTTCCAGTGTGCTAAAAGTCGTTCCATGTTCATCTGACTTCAGGTAGAGCTACAGTGTGAATGTGGACGAAGAAAAGAGATGGTGATTTGCTCTGAAGCATCTAGTACTTATCAAAGGTTAGTGTTACTTAAATGTTAACAACTGATGGCCTAGGTGAAACAGATACATGTGTTTTGTTTTGTTTTTAAAGCTAGTCAAGTGAAGCAGTGGGAGTGGAGAAGAAACGAAGTCTGTAACTGTTGTAATCAGTTGTAAACACCACTGCACAGATACATGTGTTTATCATAGTATCCTTGCAACTTTTCTAAAAGCTGGAAAGGTTTTTTTGTTTGTTTTGTTTTGTTTTATTGAGAGGGGTCTCGCCCTGTTTCCCAGGCTGGTCTCCCACCTTGGCCTCCCAAAGTGCTGGGATCACAGGCGTGAGCCACTACACCTGGCTGGAAAGTTTCTTACATACATTTTTAAAAATCTGGTTTCTCTAGTTCAAAGAAACAGTGCTGCTTTATATACCTTTTCTTCCCTAACTTTAGTGTGTAAAATAACTTTGAAATTTCTCCGCTTCCTCCTTCCTCTTTCTTTTTTTCTCTCTTTTGGTCGTATTACATTGTGAGATAAGAAGGGAAGATGTCCTGAAGTTAGGTGAATTGCTTTCACATCCTACCATTTGTCATTGACACAGCCAGGGCTAAGCTCTGTGCTCCTCTGGTGTGAGGGTTTCTAATTGTTCTGTGAGGTATCTCTGCAGCCTCCTGAAGTCTTGGGACCTGTGTAGCCGTACAGGGATCTGAGTGCTGAGATGGAGGTGTTAGAGAATGAATGGTTATATATATATATATCTGGTTAGATGGGGAGAGGTGCCATGGATATAGGACTTTAAGAGGATGCACACATCAGATTGGCTGTGTTTGAATACCTACTAAGTGCCAAGTGTTGCTCTAGGGGATACTGAGGGATTGAGTCACCTCATCGCTTCCCATGTAGCTGCTTTGAATATAATTGAAGAGATATGACATAAATATGTAGGTAGTTCATAGTAGCCGGGCTTCCAAGGCCACACCAGTTTTCATCTGATAGATTTGCTTTTTTTTTTTTTTTTTTTTTTGAAATGGAGTTTCGCTCCTGTTGCCCAGGCTAGAGTGCAATGGTGCAATCTCGGCTCACTGCAACCTGCACCTCCCAGGTTCAAGTGATTCTCCTGCTTCAGCCTCCTGAGTAGCGGGGATCACAGGCACCTGCTACCATGCCTGGCTAATTTTTTGTATTTTTAGTAGAGACGGGGTTTCACCATATTGGCCAGGCTGGTCATGAACTCCTGACCTCAGGTGATCCACCTGCCTTGGTTTCCCAAAGTGCTGGGCTTACAGGCGTGAGCCACCACACCTGGCCTAGATTTGCTTTTAAAGAGGTCTTCTGTATCCCAAGTATAAGGAGGTTCTTGTGAAACTGCAATGCCTCTTTTTCCCTTTCTTTTTTATATTTCAGAATAGCTGCAATCTCCATGGCCTCTAAGATAACAGACATGCAGCTTGGAGGTTCAGTGGAGATCAGCAAGTTAATTACCAAAAAGGAAGTTCATCAAGCCAGGTAATTTTTAAAATGCATATATGTGCCTTCTTTCTTCAATTAGACTTCAATTAGAGGGCAGAGATTATTCATTTATCTCAATCCTTCATAGTAGAGCCTTGCATACACAATAAGTATTCAATAGACAATTTGATGTTGAGACATCTGCTCCATCCCCAATGAATCCTACTCAGGAGATGGCTAAGACTAAAGGAGACTTTTCCAGGCCTCACAGTAACCGAAGGAAGCAGAGACCTATAGGTGTTTAGCTTAACCCATATGAGAATAGAGAACCCAGAGAGGTGGCCATCTCTGGAGAGGGAGATTGGGCTGTTAAGAGGGGCACCTGTGGAGCATTTGGGGCTGAGCAGCCAGGGAACACTCTGAGGCCACTGGAGGACTCCTAGACCCCATAACAGAGAGGCCATCATCCCACCTGTCCTTCAGAGGGACCTCATCCAGCCATTCCTGGATTGGGGTCCCTGGGGAAATGGTATTTCTAGGGCAAGGTTACTAATGGAAACTGAAGAGCAGGTGGCCTCACAGGCTGCTTCCTGGCCTGAGGGATTGTTTTTTGGCAAGAGTCAGCTGTGCTTCCAGGTTGACTGAGACTTCCTTTTCTTGCTGGATGGGAGCTGTACAGTCTGTATTCTGACTTTAATTTTTTTTCATTTGCTTATCAAGGCTGGAGTGTGATGAGGAGTGTTCAGCCTTGGAAAGGAAAAAGTAAGTAGTTGCAGCTGCTTTTTTAATCTCCTTGCCCTTGAGCTCTGTGAAATTAATGGGAGGGAGCAACCCTTCAAACGTCATTCACTCAGCACTGCGCTGCGTCTTTTACCGTTATCAAAGAGCAAGAGAAATGCCGTTACCAAGAATTGAATTGTCTTAAGGATAAACCACTCAGGTGATTTCAGCATATTGAGAAACATGAGCTGTGTGGTTTTGGGCATGATATAAACATCACATAACACAGCATACTTATTCAGGGACTGGCCAACTTCCTGACTCAGAGATAAGAGGTTTAAAACAATGTTTAGTTAACTTTTCGTTGAAGTTTAGCATACATATTGAAGATTGGAAGTGTGCAGATCAGTGAATCGTCACTAAATGATTACAGTTGTGTAATCATTTGTGTCACTAAATGAATACAGTTGAGTATGGATACAGGTGAAAAGATAATTACCAGAACCGTCTCTTGTACTCTACATAAAGGTGAAACCTCTATCCTAATTTCTCTTTAGATTAGTTTTTGAACTTTATGTAAGTGATGAAATCATGTAGTTTGTATTATTTTTGTCTGGCTTCTTTCGTTATATTTTTGTGACATTCACTCCTGTTGTTGCATGTAGCAATGCTTTATTCATTTTTATTCCTGCATGATTTTTTTTGTATTACTATTCATTTACCCATTATACTGTTAATGGATATCTTTGTATTAACTGTTAGACTATTACAAATAAAACTGTTAAGAATTCTTTTTTTTTTTTTTTTTTTTGAGATGGAGTTTTTCTCTTGTCGCCTAGGCTGGAGTGCAATGGCATGATCTTGGCTCACTGCCACCTCTGCCTCCCGGGTTCAAGCGATTCTCTTGCCTTAGCCTCCAGAGTAGTTGGCATTACAGGTGTGTACCACCATGCCCAGCTGATTTTTGTATTTTTAGTAGAAATGGGGTTTCACCATGTTGGCCAGGCTGGTCTCGAACTCCTGACCTCAGGTGATCCACCTGCCTCGACCTCCCAAAGTGTTGGGATTACAAGCTTGAGCCACCACGCCCAGCCCAGAACATTCTTAAACTTGCTTGCTCTATATTTCTGTACATTTCTGTTGGATATAAGCCAGAAGTAGAATTGCTGATTAATAGGGTTTATGTGTGTTCAGCATTAGTAGATTCTGCCCATGTCCAAAGTGATTGTACCAAATTACACTCCCACCAGCTAAGGATAATTCCCATTGCTGTACATTTTTGTCAGCACTTGAAATTGTCACTTTTTAATTTTAGCCATTTTGTAGATGTGTATAACAAGATGTCATTGAGCTTTTAATTTCTATTTTCCTGATGACTTAAGAGATTGAGCACCTTTCTTGTAGTTACTGGCCATTGGATAGCCTCATTTTTGAAGTGCCTGTACAAGTCCTTTGCTTATTTTTTTGTGCTCTTTTTGTATTGATTAGTAGGAATTCTTTATGTATTCTGAATATGAGTCCTTTGTTGGCTCTATGTATACATTGTGAGTACTTTGTTGCACTCTGTACCTTCATTTTTTACTCTCTTGATGCCTTTTTTTAATCCCAGAAGCTAAAGAACTCTTGTTGTCTTTTGATAAACAGAAATTTTTAATGTTAATATTATCCAGTTTATTTGAGTTTCTTAATAAGCACTTTTCATGTCCTATTTAGAAAAATTTGTCTATCCTGAGGCAATGACAATATTCTGTTATTATCTAGAAACTGTGTTATTTTACCTTTCACATTTTAAATCTACAGTTGACCTGTACTGATTTTTTTGAGTATGGATAAGGAGAGTTTACAATTCAGCTTTTTTCCACGTGAATATCCATTTGACGAGTACCAAGATTGTCCTTTTCCCAGCACTCTGCAGTGCCACCTCTGTCATACATCACATATAAGCCTGGGCAACTTGGCAAAACCTCATCTGTACAAAAAATAAAATAAAATTAGCCAGGTGTGGTGGTGCACACCTGTAGTCCCAGCTACTTGGGAGGCTTGAGGTGGGAAGATTGCTTGAACCTGCGAGGTTGAGGCTACAGTGAGCCATGATCACCAGTCTGGACTATACTTTTGGTGACAGAGTGAAATGCTGTCTCAAAAAAAAAAAAAAAAAATAAGCCGGGCATGGTGGCTCACCATGGCCGTAATGGTGGTGCCTATAATCCCAGCACTTTGGGAGGTTGAGGTGGGCAGATCACAAGGTCAGCAGATCGAGACCATCCTGGTAAAACCCCATCTCTACTAAAAATACAAAAAATTAGCCGGGCATGGTGGCGGGCACTTGTAGTCCCAGCTACTCGGGAAGCTGAGGCAGGAGAATGGCATGAACCCAGGAGGCGGAGCTTGCAGTGAGCCGAGATGGTGCCACTGCACTCTAGCCTGGGCGACAGTGGGAGACTCCGCATCAAAAAATAATAATAAATAAATAAAGTATATCAAATATATATATATATGTGAGTCTGTTTCTGAGCTCATCCTGTTCAACTGCACTAGTATCACACTGTCTTAATTACTGTACCTTTATAACAAGTCTTAATATCTGGTAGTATATATCCTCAACCATGACTTTTCTTCAATATTGTCTTTGATTATTCTTTATTCTTAGCCCTTTACATTTCCACTTAATGTCTTTTTCATTTATGTATTTATTTATTGAGATAGGATCTTGCTCTGTCACCCATGCTGGAATGTAGTGGCACAATCATAGTTCACTGTACCCTTGAACTCCTGGGCTCAAGGGATCCTCGTGCCTCAGCCTCCAAAATAGATAGGACTACAGGCACACACCACTACGCCTGGCTAAGATTTTCTTTTTTTTTTTTTTTTCTTTTGTAAAGACAGGGTTTTACTATGTTGACCAGGGTGGTCTCAAACTTCTGGCTCAAGCGAACCTCCTGCCTTGGCCCCACAAAGTGCTGGGATTATAAGCATGAGTTACTGCACCCAGCCCATTTCCACTTATATTTCACAATTGGCTTGTTATTATAATATATACCCAAGAAACCTGCTGGGATTTTGATTGAGTTGGTATTTAACTTGTAGGTCAATTTGGAATCTTTACAATGTTAAATTTTCTAGTCCAAGAGAAGGTGTATTCTTGCATTTCATGTCTTCTTTGATTTCTCTCAATGATACTTTATGGTTTTCTATATATAAATTTTGTATTCTTTCAGTAGATTTGTTTCTTGCTTTTTGATGCTGCTATAGATGGGTTTATTTTTCTTGTATTACTTGTAATTTTTTTTTTGAGACAGAGTCTCGTTCTGTTTCCCAGGCTGGAGTGCAATGGTGTGATCTCGGCTCACTGCAAGCTCCACCTCCCGGGTTCACGCCATTCTCCTGCCTCAGCGTCCCAAGTAGCTGGGACTGCAGGTGCCCACCACTACACCCGGCTAATTTTTTGTATTTTTAGTAGAGATGGTGTTTCACCATGTTAGCCAGGACAGTCTCAATCTCCTGACCTTATGATCTGCCCGCCTCAGCCTCCCAGAGTGCTGGGATTACAGGCATGAGCCACTGCGCCTGGCCAACTTTTAATTTTTTTTAAATTATTATTATTATTTAATGTGACAAGTGTTTTGTTTATTTTGTTTTTGACCAGGTTGACATCCTCAAAAAAAAATGCAAATTACAAGGACTTCATTTTAAAGCAAATGCTCATTTTAGAAATGTGTTACAGAAGATATTTATGTGCTTCAGCAGGCATAAAAATATATCACAGATAAGGCAAAAAAATTCTGTGAATGGCTTGATTTTTTTTTTTTTTTTTTTTTTTTTTTTTTTTTGATACAGAGTCTCACTCTGTCTCCCAGGCTGGAGTGCAATGGCACAATTACAGCTCACTGCAGCCTCTACCTCCTGGGTTCAAGTGATCCTCCCACCTCACCTCCCAAGTAGCTGGAACTGCAAGTGCATGCCACCACACCCAGCTAATTTTTACATTTTTTTGTACCACACCCAGCTAATTTTTTTGTTTTTTTTTTGGTAGAGATGGCATCTCGCTATGTTGGCCAGGCTGGTCTCACATTCCTGGGCTCAAGCAATCCTCCTGCCTCAGCCTTCCAAAGTGCTGGGTTTACAGGCGTGAGCCACCACACCCGGCCTAAATTGGTATTTTCTAATTGCTTGTTGCTGGTATTTAGAAATACAATTGATAATTATTGACTTATTTAGCAACCTCGCTAAATTCACTTATTTCTGATATTGTAGATTATTTTGGATTTTGTATATACACAGTCATGTCTTCTAATAATAGTAATTTTATTTATTGTCAATTCCTGTTATTTTTTTCCTTTCTTTTTTCTTTTATCTTTTTTCCTTCTTTCCAATTCTTAACTTTTATTTCTTCTTCTTACCTCATTGTATTGGTTAGGGCCTTCAGTATATTGTTGAATGGAGGGTGGTAATAATAGATATTCCTTGGCCGGGCGCGGTGGCTCACGCCTGTAATCCCAGCACTTTGGGAGACTGAGGCGGGCGGATCACTTGAGGTCAAGAGTTCGAGACCAGCCTGGTCAACATGGTGAAACCCTGTCTCTACTAAAAATACAAAAATTAGCCGGGCATGGTGGCAGACGCCTGTAGTCCCAGCTACTCAGGAGGCTAAGGCAAGAGAATTGCTTGAACCTGGGAGGCAGAGGGTGCAGTGAGCCGAGATGGCGCCACCACACTCTAGCCTAGACGATACAGCAAGACTCAGTCTCACCAAAAAAAAAAAATAGATGTTCCTGACTAATCCTCCATCTCATGGGGAAAACTTTAAGTATTTCACCATTAAATATGATGTCTGCAGTAAGTTATTTGAGGATACTCTATCAGATCAAGAGGCATTTATTCAACAACTGACAAACTTTCTGATTCTAGCAAAGATTGATTAAATTGAATAGCCCTGCAAATTGTTAATAATTGGAGAATTTAGGTGAAGGTTATATAGAAGTTTATGGTAATATTCTCATAACTTGTCTTTGAAATTTGTTTAAGATAAAAAGTTAGACAAATGCAGACAAAGTATAGCCCTATTTTACCTTGAAGTTTGACTTTCAGCAATTTTAATAGTACCTCTTTACATATTAAGTGTGTAGAAGGTAATATGATGACTAGTAGTGCTGTCCAAATTTTCCTTGGTTTGACCCTTATAATAACTTTCTAGTGAGTGCCGTTCAAAACCCTTGCCCTTTAGGAACCGTCAGTCAGTGTTCTCAGCTGCAGAATGTAAATTAGGAGTCCTAGGTATTCAGAAATGCTATAGTGAATACACAGAAGGTCTCCAAACATGGAAATGTACTTTTGGTGGTTGAAAGACATATTGTATACTAGTTAGAGCCAGAGCTCTGGAGTCAGATTGTCTGGATTTGAATCCTGGCTTCACAAATCACTTAGCTATGAGACCTTGGGCAAGTCACATATTGTCTGTAAGCCTTAGGTTTCTTAAAAATCTAGAAATGATGACAATAACAGTATTTACCTTCCAGAGTTGTTGTGAGGATTAATACATTAAAAATGATACTCATAAAGCTCTTGGCACAAGAGCTTGGCACATAGTAGGTACTCAGTAAATGTTATTGATTAAAACTAGCTATTTTTGAAAGCCTTTTGAATTTCTCCTCAATCTTGGTGATGACATAATGACCCTTACTGGATAGAGTCTTTCATAAATACACACAAACCTAAGAGAAAAAAATGCAAATTTAAAGAAAAGTCCATCTAAAGTTATATCTATATATACACACACATATATACACGCATACACCTGTGTGTATATATATGTATGTGTGTATATCTCTATTGTAGAAATAAAAACCTAGCAGGCCAAATTCAGCCCACAGACAGGTTTTATTGGTGTTTAAATTTGAATTAGTGGCCAACTAACCAAAACATCAAAAGATCTTCCCCTAGAAATTCTCTTGAAAATTTGAAAAGTAAGTGTCTTTTGAAAAATTGGAAATCTAGCAGTGTGAACCAGATTCTTGTGGGCACTAAGCTTGTAAGTGACTCTTGGTGCAGTGTAAATGAAAATTGTACTAAGTGCTAAGCTGAAATCTAGCTTTAAAAAAATAAAATAACTTGAATGTTGGTGAGATGCCATGAGATTCAGACACTGATGGCTAGGGCACTAAGTGGCATTTCTGGAGACCACTTACTCCACATTGATCAAGAGTCTTATGTCCACTCCATGTACCCCACAACTGGAAACATTTTCAAAGCTTTTTGCACAGAGATATTAATTGTGTCGTATATAATATTGAGAAACTGAGGAACTGTTAAAGAAACCTAAATGGGAAATGATTAAAATATGGGAACATAATTAGAAGACTATGAGCCATGAAGACAGTTAAGTGTGAAAACAAAATAATAATATGAGAAATGCTAACAAGATAATGCTGAGAGGCAAAGAAACAAGGTTTTTTTAATTTTTAAAATTTTTTTATTAAATAAAAATGGTATATATTTATGGTAATACAGCATGATGTGTATGTATACATTGTGGAATGGCTAAATCAAGCTAATTAGCATATGCATTACCTCACATTCTTATTTTTGGGGGGGTGAGACAATTTTGAATATAATAATGGCGGTACTTAAAATTATAGAGAAAGGCTGGGCGCAGTGGCTCACACCCGTAATCCCAGCACTTTGGGAGGTCGAGGCGGGTGGATCACCTGAGGTCAGGAGTTCAAGACCAGCCTGGCCAACATGGTGAAACCCCATCTCTACTAAAGATACAAAAATTAGCTGGGCATGGTTGCGGGCGCCTGTAATCCCAGCTACTCGGGAGGCTGAGGCAGGAGAATCGCTTGAATCCAGGAGGTGGAGGTTGCAGTGAACCGAGATCATGCTATTGTACTCCAGCCTGGGCGACAAGAGCAGCCTGGGCGACAAGAGCAAGACTCCATCTCCAAAAATATATATATATACACATAGAGAGAAACGTTATAGTGAAAAAAGGGGCCCGTTACAGCGGCTCATCCCCATAATCCCAGCATTTGGGTGGCTGAGGCCAGCGGATCACTTGAGCTCAGGAGTTCAAGACCAGCCTGGGCGACATAGCAAAACCCTGTCTCTACAAAAAATACAAAAATTAGCCGGGCATGGTGGCACACTTGTAGTGCCAGCTACTGGAGAGGTTGAGGTAGGAGGATGGCTTAAGCCCAGGAGGTGGAAGTTACAGTGAGCTGAGATCATGCCACTGCACTCCAGCCTGGGCAACAAGAGCCAGACCCAGCCTCAAAAAAAAAAAAAAAACAATTAGAAAAAAGGGAACACTTACACATTCTTGGTGGGATTGTAAATTAGTACAGCCACTATGGAAAACAGTATGGAATTTCCTCACATTAAAAATAGAACTACCATATGATCCAGCAATCCTATTACTTGGTATCTCTACAGAGGAAATAAAATCTGTAGAGATACCTGTACTCTCATATTTGTTGCAGCACTATTTACAATAGCCAAGATATGAAATCAACTGAAGTGGCCAACATGGCTGCATGGATAAAGAAAATGGGGTATATATACAGAATGAAATACTATTCGGCCATAAAAAAAATGAAACCCTGTCATTTGCAACAACATGGATGGACCTGGAGGACATCATGTTAAGTGAAATAAGCCAGACACAGAAAGACAGACACCACACGATCTCACTCATATGTAGAATATTTAAAAAATAATACAGAAGCAGAGAGTAGACCAGTGTTGTCTGACTGAGAAGAGGGACAGGGTGGAAAAGGGAGGTTGAGGAGAGGTTGGTCAGTGGATATAAAGTTACAAATAGATGGTAGTAATAAGTTCCTGTGGTTTTTTTTTTTTTTTTTTTTTTTTTTTTGAGAAGGAGTTTTGCTCTTGTTGCCCAGGCTGTAGTGCAATGGCGCTATCTCAGCTCACTGCAAGCTCTGCCTCCCGGGTTCAAGCGATTCTCCTGCCCCAGCCTCCTGAGTAGCTGGGATTACAGGCATGCACAACCACACCTGACTAATTTTTGTGTTTTTAGTAGAGACGAGGTTTCTCCATGTTGGTCAGGCTGGTCTCGAGCTCCCAGCTTCAGGTGATCCGCCCGCCTCGGCCTCCCAAAGTGCTGGGATTACAGGCGTGAGCCACCGTACCCAGCCTAAGTTCTCGTGTTCTATGGCACACTGGGGTGATGATGGTTAACGGTAAGGTGTAGTATTTTACAAAATAGCTAGAAAAGAGGCTTCTGTGTATTCTCACCACAGTGAAATAATAAGGGCATCAGGTGATGGATATGCCTAATACACTGATTTGGTCATTATACAACATAGTATATATGTACCGAGACATCAACATCAAACTGCTTCATAAATATGAAGCAATGACAATGGGTCAATAAAAATAAAATAATAAAGAAATGTATTATTATTATTATTATTATTATTATTATTATTATTTTTAGACAGAGTCTCACTGTGTTGCCCAGGCTGGAGTGTAGTGGCACAATCTCGGTTCACTGCAACCTCTTTCTCCTGAGTTCAAGTGATTCTCATGCCTCAGCCTCCTAGCAGCTAGGATTACAGGCACGTGCTACCACACCCGGCTAATTTTTGTATTTTTAGTAGAGACAGGGTTTCACCATATTGGCCAGGCTGGTCTCGAACTCCTGGCCTCAAGTGATCCATCTACCTTGGCCTCCCAGAGTCCTAGGATTACTGGTGTGAGCCACCGCACCCAGCCAAGAAATGTATAAAAATGAAGTGTATATGTTAATGGAATTCTTTACTTTTCAGATTTCTATATTAATTTTAACATTTGTATGTCTATTTTATGTACCTTATCTTTAAACAAAGCCTCAGAGAAAGTCATCCCCCATTGACCATTCTCAGTGATCCCACACCCCCAAACTCCTCTTCCCCAAATAATCTAAGTCCCCAGTGTTCAGCCTATGACTTGCTCAGATCCTTATAGATCTGTTTATTTTCTTTTATGAAGACAATACCACCTCATGTCCCAAGTTGTTGTTATTCTCTCCTTAATAATCCAGTTTACCAAAATAGAGATAAATAATGTGTAAAGAATTTAGGATATAGTAGGCACTCGGGGTTACTGCAAGATAGTTTCCCTCCCACTCCTTTTATTTGCATACCTCTCTCTCTCTTTCAGGAGATTAGCAGAGGCATTTCATATCAGTGAGGATTCTGATCCTTTCAATATACGTTCTTCAGGGTCAAAATTCAGTGATAGTTTGAAAGAAGATGCCAGGTATGTAACTTGTTACCTGCTTTCTTAATTGTGGCTTGTCAGGGTGTTTGGTCTTTTGAGATGTCATAACTAATATGTACTCCTCCTGTGATTAAGCCAGTTCAAGTTTGTTTGTTTATCTATTGTAAGAGATTATGTGCTGTTTAATAAATATCCTTCTCTTGGTTTCTCGAAACTGTCCCCTTAAAGAACTGAACTTGGGGTAGGGTTGAGATAAGAGTTTGGGTGGGGTGGTGGTAAGAGTTTGGGCCTCCCAAGGGCTGGACTAGACTAAATTGGAGGATCTCTGGGCTTCATTCCACTTCTGTCCACCCCAGTCTCACATTCACATGCGTTCTCAGTTGGAGCTATAACAGCTCTTATTTTTCTCCTGGAGTCCCTGGCCTTTCAGTGGCTACTTCTCCTTTCATCTTCTCATTTCTTATATTTTTCTCTTTTGTTCTTCCGTCAGTCATCCTTCTGTTTTCTGACAATTCCTGATCTCTGCAGTTTTACTGCCAGCATTGTCTATTGTCTACGCTTTACAGGGAGAGGATGGGTGAAAGGGGTTCTCAGAAGGGCAGGGACAGACAAAATTAACTGGTGATTTCTCATTTCAGGAAGGACTTAAAGTTTGTCAGTGACGTTGAGAAGGAAATGGAAACCCTCGTGGAGGCCGTGAATAAGGTTGAAGTCGAAACATCCCACTGGACATTTCTCTAAGGCCAGCTTGATGAAAAAAAAAAAGCAATCAAGTCCTGGAAACACTTTCAACCTAGAGTAGTTGTAGGAAAAAGTCACAACTTCTTTGAGGATCCTTATCTTTCTCAAAACACAGCCATTATAACATCTGTGGAAGCCTGTCCTGGTTCAGGACAGTTGACTGCAGAAAAGATCTACAGTCGGCTGGGCACAGTGTCTCATGCCTGTAATGCCAGCACTTTGGGAGGCCAAGGCAGGCAGATCACTTGAGGTCAGGAGTTCTAGATCAGCTTGGCCAACATGACGAAACCCTGTCTCTACTAAAAATATAAAAATTAGCTGGGTGTGGTGGCGGGCACCTGTTATTCCAGCTACTTGCAAGGCTTAGGCAGGAGAATTCCTTGAACCCGGGAGGCAGAGGTTGCTGTGAGCTGAGATTCTGCCACTGCACTCCAGCCTGGGCAACAAGAGTGAAACTCTGTCTCAAAAAGAAAGAAAGAAAGAAAGAAAGCTCTGCAGTCAGCTGTAAGTAAATGCCAGGCACGGTGGCTCACACCTGTAATCCCAGCGCTTTGGGAGGCTGAGGCAGCAGGCGGATCACTTGAGTCCAGGAGTTCACGACCAGCCTGGGCAACGTGGCAAAACCCTGTCTCTACAAAAAATAAAAAATTAGCCAGGTGTGGTGGTGCACACCCATAATCCCAGCTACTCAGGGGGCTGAGGCAGGAGGATTGCTTAAGCCCAGGAGGTCAAGCCTGCAGTAAGCTGAGGTTGAGTCACTGTACTCCAGCTTGGATCTCCAGCTTGAGATCCTGTCTCAATAAAAAAGAAAGAAAGAAAAAGAAAATAAAGATGCTGGCCAAGTGCCTAAGAATGGATGAAGAAACTCTGGGTGAGGGGGCTCAATAGTGATAGTTGAGTGACTGTGTGGGACACTTAGGAAGACACTCTAGCCCCTCAGATCTTTGAAGGGCTATTGTATGCTAGGAAAGCCCACTGTTCTTTATAATTCCAAAGGCAGGAATGTCCCCTTTGGGAAGGATGAAAGTTGTATGACTACAGCTGGAGAGCAGTGGGATAGACTCCTTCAGAAGAGGGAGACCCCTGTCCTGGAGGCGGCCAGGGATGTCACGGAGGTAGCTTTAAGTGGAAAAGTCTTGAGTTTAGTCAGAAGCCCCCAGCGCTGCATTGGCTTCCTCCCCCTTCCATCAGGGGGGACGGTGAGTAAGGACAAGATGGTTGCTTTAGCCCCTGTATCTAATGCTGGTGGTTTTCCTTCCCAGTCTCCTTACCCTCTTCCCATTCCCCTCCTTTCCTCCCTTCTGTTACCACTTCCCAGCAGAATATTAACATGAAGGAGAAAATGGAATGCATTATTCCTCTCCTAATTAAGAAACCCCAACAGATGTGTTTCTCTGCTTGTGTGTCTGTATCTGAATACTCACGATTTTTAAAGTAGAACATACTTTTAAAGGAAATAATATTTTCTTGTTTTGTAAGTCTTTAGTCATTTTTGGGGAATATCACCCACTCCCCAGTTATGGAACCCATCAGGAAGAACCATTATGCTGTCTACCTAAGTCGCAGTTCACTTACCCTTTGTCCCTAACCCTGTCCAGCTGCGACTGTTGTGGCTCACAGAGTAGGTGAAAGAAGTGCATCAGTGCCCATCTTCCCAAACCCCTCCAGGCTTGCTTGGCAGTTAGTAAAATGCTCTATGCTGTGGGCCTCTAAAATCACCTCTTATTGATCCCTGCAATTCTTGTGTGGTAAGATTAGTTGTAAGCATTTTGTTTTCAGAATGATATGATCAATCAGTCATCTTTTCCCTCAATACAGGGAAAGAATAGTAAGAAAAGCCACAGCTTCCCTCCCATGAACAGAGACCACCGCCGGATCATCCATGACTTGGCCCAAGTTTATGGCCTGGAGAGCGTGAGCTATGACAGTGAACCGAAGCGCAATGTGGTGGTCACTGCCATCAGGTAGGTCAATCCCGCCGTCAGAGGAAGAACTCCTAAGCAGGGCAAACTGGACCCAAGAAGCAGGGTCTGTCAATACTTGTCTTTCTTACTACCACTCTCCCTCTTGGAAAAGTAGAAGGAAAATCTGCTTCTCTGGCACTTCCCAGATAATCTAAAGGCCTGAGCCAAAGAGCAAAACCTATGCCTCGACCCACAGGGCAGATGCACTCAAAATGCACAAGTGTCACATCTGCCTACAGTCATAGCAGATGCTGGAAGCAGCATTTCTTCAGGCAAGGGGGCCTGCCCATCATATCTGCTCTTTTCTCCTTCTGTCTCCTGTTCCTCTGTCTGTCCTCTCCTTGGCTCTGTCCTCTTGGCATGGGGAAAACAGAAAGAATGCTGGACTCTGGTTCGAGGCATCCCCTGTGAATGGTGTTTTTGCCATCAGAGGAAACTGAAGCAATAATGTGACCAGGAGGGGACAGGGAGGACCTAGGATCACTCTCAGAACCTGGGAATAGGAAGAACTTGCCAGTGAAGAAAACAAGTCTGACATGAAGCAAGCCACGGGCCTGGCATAGGTGGGTGGAAGGGACAGGGGGTTAAATGCAGGTGGCCATGTCTGAGAGCAGACAGTTCATACCAGAGAGTGCTCAGTAGTGTCATAGTGCCAAAATCAAGGGCTGAGTTTCTAGCTTTCTGTCCATCTCCACAAACAATTCTCACTTTTCAATGCTTGGTGTTTTGACTTTTATCAGGGGGAAGTCCGTTTGTCCTCCTACCACGCTGACAGGTGTGCTTGAAAGGGAAATGCAGGCACGGCCTCCACCACCGATTCCTCATCACAGACATCAGTCAGACAAGTAAGATTCTCCAGCTGCTTTCCAAGGGGACCTGTCTGTCCAGAAAAGCTAGCAGGGGCTGAATTGTCCTGAGCTGCACCAGCCATTGGTGGCCTCCTCAGGCCTGGCCTTGGGGTACCATGTTCAAATATGTAATGTTTAGTTAGGGTATCAGACACGTTTGTTCCCACCAGAGGGGTCCTAAGTTTGTTGTTTGTAGTGCTTGATTCTAGAGAGAGCAGTCACTGGACATAATTTCCATGGTGTAGATGGTGACACTGGGAAGTGGATTCAGTCTGTCATACCAGATAGTTTAAGACTGAAACATCGTGTAGTTAGGAATAGTTACTCTGGGCCGGGCGCGGTGGCTCACGCCTGTAATCCCAGCACTTTGGGAGGCCAAGGCGGGTGGATCACTTAAGGTCAGGAGTTCGAGACCAGCCTGGCCAACAAGGTGAAAACCCATCTCTACTAAAAATATAAAAAAGTAGCCGGGTGTGGTGGCGGGCACCTGTAAACACAGCTACTTGGGAGACTGAGGCAAGAGAATCACTTGAACCTTGGAGGCAGAGGTTGCAGTGAGCCGAGATCGCACCACTGCACTCCACCCTGGGCGACAGAGAGACAGACTCCATCTCAAAAAAAAAAGAATAGTTACTCTGAAGATGCAAGTGGGTGTGGGGGTGAGAATTGCCGGTGACGGGGGTGGATAGTACTTTCTTGTTTTGCTCTGTCTGCTTCTATATGGTTTGAATAATTTTTATAACAAACATATTCATGATTTAAAGAGAAAAGAAAACCAAGTTGGCAAGGGGCAAGTCTGCCAGATGTTTTCTCAGACAGGAGCAGGGAAGGAGCTCTGAGAGTTGGGTGACTGTTGGGCTTTATTTGGAGAAACCAGAATTGTGGGCTGAAACCAACTTTAGAGCACTTGGTCATAGCCCCAGTTGTCCCAGTTGTTTGTCACTTGTCAGGGAGAGGAAGGGAAGGCAGGATGGTGCTCCTTCTCTGCTGCCCTAGTGTAACCAAGGCAGTGTGGCTAAAAGTTACTTCAAAGCCCAGAAGGAGAGGGGTGCCTACTCCTGTTCTGGCTTTCCACAGACAAGTCCTAGCAGTACCTCCTCTGTGATTCCTGCACAAAACCTCTGAAGGGTGGTTACGGCAGTTCACAAGGTCACCATGAAGGTCACAGCACTTAGTGTTCCTGTGGGACTGGACAAGAAGACAGCTAGGTGTTGCCCATTGAGCTCAGACTCAGCCAAGAGCGTCCTGGTCCCCAGGACCAGCCCCTCTCCACTCCTGGGAGCCAGGTGTCCTAGGTTCTGGTCAGCACAGTCTGCAAATCCATATGGGCGGTCACTTTGGAAACATGAGGGGTTTTCTCAGAAACTGCCAGAGTCGGGTCCAGTCCTGCTTAGACACAACCATGTGGAGTTATTGGCCCGTTTATCCCATGCTATCTTTTTTCTTTTTTTCTTTTTTTTTGAGATGGAGTCTCGCTCTGCCGCCCAGGCTGGAGTGCAGTGGCGCGATCTCAGCTCACTGCAAGCTCCGCCTCCCGGGTTCATGCCATTCTCCTGCCTCAGCCTCCTGAGTAGCTGGGACTACAGGCGCCTGCCACCACGCCCGGCTAATTTTTTGTATTTTTAGTAGAAACGGGGTTTCACCATGTGTTAGGATGGTCTCAATCTCCTGACCTCGTGATCCGTCCGCCTTGGCCTCCCAAAGTGCTGAGATTACAGGCGTGAGCCACCACACCTGGCCATCCCATGCTATCTTTTTAAAAACCCTTGGCTTGCTTTATTTTTGTATAAAACTCTATTATGGAAATGTTTTAGAGTAGAGAGAATAGTATTACTATCATAAATGCCCATGTGCCCATTACCAAATTTCAAAATCACCAGCTCATGTTTGTCCCACTATCAAAACTTCACAAGTGAGATGCTCGCTTGGCTTAAGCTGTTAACTGAGCATTCATTGAACTGTGAAGGCAGAGTAAAATCATCATCATATATGAAATCCTGTAAATAGATTGTGAAAGGTTACCTCTAAACTGTAAAGTGTAAATAGAGAATTTGTTATCTCACAGAATAAAATTCCCCATGTAATATGTAAATCTAGAAGGAAACACAAAAGTTAAAAAAATTGCTCACAAAGGGCAGAAGGAAAAAAAGTAAGACTAAAATAAAAATAAAATAAATGTTTAAGATTCACAAATGGTAAATCAGCTGATCCTTAACTTTCTGAAGTCCTGTATCTGTTTCCCCCAAAGAAGAAAAGACTGATCATTCTTTGTTTGTTTTTCAGGAATCCTGGGAGCAGTAATTTACAGAAAATAACCAAGGAGCCAATAATTGACTATTTTGACGTCCAGGACTAAGAAGATCATGATGCACTTAGATAAAAGAATGATTAGGTATAGTGGAGACTTATTTGCCAGCAGATAAATCATGCCCGTTCCCCTCTGCCTGGCAGAATCACAGTCTCACATACTGTCTTGTACTGACACATCCAAAGCATGAGTGTGTCAGAAATCCCTTGTCTATTCCTGTCTGTATAAAGTGTTTCATTATGACCAGATCTCTGATTGTATGGTCACTAGGTATGCAATCACGCATTCAAAGAGGCTCTTTACACCATCACTGTGATTGCTCTGAGAGTTGAGGGACTATTGGGCTTTATTTGGACAAACCAAACTTTTAGCCTGAAACCAACTTTATGCCACTAAGTCATAGCCTCAGTTGTCCCAGTTATTTGTCCTCCTGAAAATGCCTGAAACATCAGACAGACATTGCTTGCTTTACCCAAACTGATCAAAATCTTTAGGAGCACAAATGAATTTTTTAGTCTGAAATACCAAATAATGAATTGGTATACCATATCCGGAATCACACATGTTATCTTAAACCCAGCCATCATACCTAAGTCTTTTGCCAAAACCTCTCATAGGTATATCTAGCTGAACTTATTTTGGCATTTTCAATGTGATCAGTTCTAGACCTAGAAGGGGGTCAGGCTGCTTTACAGAATTCTATTTCCTTAAGTCCCTGGCACTTCTCATACCACATCACTGAACCTGTTCAGTAACAATCAGTTTGGCCGTCCCCCATGATGGTAGGAAATATAGAGAGCAAGTTCTTCTGCCAGGGTCACACTGTGGTCTCTGAACTGACCAGTATATCCCTAACTCCTCTTTGATAGAGAAAGAGTCTCAAATGGACAACTGTCCTGTGTTGCTTTCCCTAGGCCTTCAGCAGCCTATTGGCTCTCCCTGCCTCTGAGCTCTGGACTCTGTTTGAATATTCCAAGTAGTATATGGACAGTCCAGGGCTTATGCCCAGCAGCCCACTGGAGGCATTCTTCAGGCTCCTTTAAGGCAGGTGCATTGATAGTTCCATTAGTGTGACCCTTGCATTGGCACCCCTCCAGCCTGGAGGCCAGGCTTCCAGCAACTTCCTTCTGCCCTAGAGCAAGCCATGAGCCCCAGAGCAGTAGCAGGAGACTTGAGAAGTAGAGTGACAAAAACAAGCACTTAATTAAATTATAAAATTTAACTTTATAGGGCTGCCTTTTGGTGTTTTCATTTTTTTATTTCTTTTCATTTTTTTTCCTCAATCCTCCTCCTCCTGTAGCAGGGCTGTCCTTTGGTCCTTACCCAGTCTGCTTCAAAAGGGATCAGGTACAGCAGCAGGAACAGGTGACTGGAGGGAAGTGACACAAAACAAAACCACCTCTCTCTGGACCCATGTAGTGCAGGTCAGTGGCCCCACACACAACAGGAAGCCCATGAGCATCTGTTACCTCTTTCAAGCAGTGGGTTCAGTGGGTGAATAGTACGTGTGAGAGTATCTCAGAATCAGCAAAAGGCAGGAGACCTGACTTCAGATTCTAGCTGTGCCACATAATTTGCCGCTTGATGCGATGAAAGTTTCACTGACCTCATTAGGGTTATGAAGATTAAAGGAGTAATACACGTGGAGGTACCTGATCCTCAAAGTTCATAAAAATGATACTTAGTATCTAGAAAATATGTACACATCTTCCTCCATAATACTAGCCAAGTAGAAGGTGTGGAATGCTAACCAGGCCTCTTCTGGTGAATATTTGCATGCCTACCCTGTGCCAGCCTTGTGCCAGGGCTGTGGGAAGCAGCCTGGTTTCGTACATTTAGTAATCCAGGGAGGACACACGTGAACAGATGTTCTCAGTGGAATTGGCTAGTCTGCCACCAACAGGTTGTTAATCGGTTATTAAAAGCTGAAGAGTCCTAAGAGGAATATTTTGTGAAGTTGCGGTAGAAATGGGTTAGCTCTGGGGGTCAGAGCAGGACACGTGTGGGAAAGTGAAATGGGAGGAAGCATTTGAGCTGAGGCTTGAGATGGTAGGCTGCCATTTGGAGGAGGAAAGAGGCCCATGCTGAGAGAAGGTAAACAGCAGGAGACAGGGCTGGGGGAATGGTTGAGTAAGGGTTGTCCAGAGCAGGCAGACAACTAGGGGCACAGGTGATGAGGCTGGACAGGTGGACAGGGGTCAGCTCGTGGAGAGCCACAGGGAGTGACAAGAATTCTAAGCAGAGTGGCATGGCCAGATTTAGGATCTAGACCAGGATTCAGCAAATGTTTTGTGAAAAAAGATCAGATAGTAAATATTGTAGACTGTGAGACTTATAGTTTCTGTTGCAGCTATCCAACTCTGCCATCGTAGTGTGAAAGCAGCCGTAGACAATATGCAAATGAAAAGAGTAAGGCTCTGTTCTAATGCTTTATTTGTGCACACCGAAATAATTTCATATGATTTTTATGTCACAAAATATTCTTTTGACTTTTTTCCCCAACGATTTATAAACATAAAAACCATTCTTAGCTCATGAGTTGTGCAAAAACAGGCAGCAGGCTAGATTTGACCAGGGACTTTATTTTACCCACCCTGTTCTGGAGCAGTCCCTCAGGCAGAAGAGTATAGAAGGGATTGGAGGGCTACTTGGAGGCAGGAAGCTCAGCCAGGAAGCTGCAGAAGTGATCCGGGTGAGAGAAAATGAGGGTGATGGGGGTTGGCACTGCAAAGAGGGAAGAGATTCAGATCAGGGAGGTAGGATTGGATGCCAGAGGTTAGCGGGAGAACTAGCCCCCCTCATATCACCAAGGGGAGACCCCCGGTCTCCTCAGCAAGGGGAAGCTGCTGCTTGTAGCTTTGGTGGATTCCTCACTGAGCAGTGGCACTGGACAAGAGTGTACAGGAGCATGAGCTAGACGGGAAGACCCCTGTGCCTCCACCACCCCATGCATGGAGGGAGGGCACCAGGACCCCAAGCTGTTGCTCCCTGAGAATCAGGTGGTAACTTCTCTCCCTGCTCCCATACTCTCTTTCAGCAGGAGAGTTTTTATGGGCTAGAGCTTTCCAGCGACCAAATTCTTCTCTCTGAAATTCCCTCTGGCTTGTTTGGCAGGGCCGGCTGTTCTCAATAGTGTTACCTGCCTGGCATGCAATAGTGGGTGTGTGCGGGACTGTGGAGATGAGAGCAGGCCCTCCTAATTGCAGGTCTGTTGGCCACAGCCCTAGATCCTGTCTTGGAGAGGCCAGAGAAGGTGGCAGGGGAGGAGGAGGAGGAGGAGTGTCAGTCTTGAGGGAGGGGGAAGGGCAAAGACTCGCTCACTGAGTCCTATAGATTAAGGTTTGGGGGAGAATCCCTCCTGTGTAGTGCTGGCCTTCCTTCTTTATGCCTGAAAGCCTGGAGACCTTGTTCCCTAAGGAGAACCTGCTGATGTGCCTCCTCTTCTAAAATCGGGGAGGGACGGCCAGGCCAGCTCCTTCACCATGGCAGACCTGCCTTCCTCATTAGCCTTCCTCACACACAAATATTGGAAAGTTCAGCCTCCCTAACTTCCCACATGGCCTCAACACAGATGTCCCGTACCATCTCCCATGGCTCAAGGATAGCCAGGGGCTTCTCTAGGCCATGTCAGTCCCTCAGCCTACAAAGGCCAAGCCCAGAAGGAACAGGTTCCCTGGGGTCACACTGCCACACTAGAAACATCCTGTACCAGGAGGGGGCTGAGTCCTCAGGACAAGGGGAGCTGTTTTTCTTCCTGGCTTCCCCAAACACAGCTCAGTGGGAAGTCCTTGCCAGTGTCCCAGGCTCCCCTCAGCCCAGGCTTTGCAAGGTCATTCTTCATAATGCACAGCCTTCTGGGAGAGCTGTCTGCAGAGAATCCAGCTGGACAGCTAGGATGTCTGTGTTGCTGCCTCAGCTCACTCTGTCCCTGGGCAGTTTGGGCATCAGTTTCTGCATCTGTCAGGTGAGATAATGGTTCCTGATCATGTGCTTCCCAGAGCCGTCCTGAGGGTGGTGGGTAGACAATGAGGGTCAGAGATCAGGAGAGTCTCCCAGTGCCACGTGGCATCTCAGCACAGTCAAACCTCTGGAGCCCATACCTGGTACAGCTCTCAGAGAATAGCTCTTGGGGAAGAGGGAAAGGAACAGAGCCGTAGTCAAGCTGCTTAGACAAGGGCCAAGGTTTTGGTCACCCCCACTGACACTCCCCTCACTAGCTTCAAGCTTGACACATCAGTGAGGGAGTTGAAAGTCCTCATCTGCTCACATTTTCCCAAGAACCTTTTTTAACAGTACGTAACGGCTATTGAGCGCTTAATATGTGCTGAGCACCACAGCCATCTCTTACTCCTCGAAGCCCCATGAAACCAGCATGGTGGCACACATCTCAGCTACTCAAGAGGCTGAGGCAGGAGAATCGCTTGAACCCAGAAGTTGTGCGAGCCCAGGAGGCTACAGTGAGCCACGTTTGTACCACTGCACTGCAACCTGGACGACAGAGCAGGACCCTGCCTCCAAAAAAACAAAGGCCAGGTGCAGTAGCTCAGGCCTGTAATCCCAACACTTTGGGAGGCTGAGGCAGGAGGGAATCACTGGAGCCCAGAAGTTCAAGACCAGCCTGGGCAGCAAAGTGAGACCCCGTCTCTACAAAAAATGCAAAAATTAGCCAGTTGTGGTGGCATGCACCTGTAGTCCCAACTACTCGGGAGGCTGAGGTGGGAGGATTGCTTGAGCCCAGGAGTTTGAGGCTGCAATGAGCCAAGGTTGTGTCACTGCACGCCAGCCTACACCACAGAGAGAGATGTCTCAAAAAAAAAAAAATCCCCATGAAGTATGTATTCTTATTATCCTCATTTTACTAGAGGGGAAACTAAAGATCAGAGAAGTTAGGTCACTTGCCGAAGATCACTCAGCAAACAACCGGTGATCTGAAATTCCTCTCAGGTCTGTGTCCTTGACAAGAGCTGTGAATTGCCCCTGAAACTGTCTTAAAACTGCCTTGGAATTGGAGCATTTGTACAGCTCCTCTTGGAGTTCCTGGGGCAGAGTGGCCCAGGTCAGTCCAAGGGGGAGGGAAGTTTACACATGTCCCAAAGCAGGAAACACCGGTTAATCCCCAACTCCTGCTCTAGAAGACAGGGCTTTTTCTCCAGTGGCCACTAGGGTGCAGTATGTATCCCTAAACCTGGAGCCTGGGGGTGGGGTGGAGGAACGCTTACACTTTGCCTCAGGAAAGCTCTCTTTATTTAAAACTCTTCAGTAGAGTTTATAACCAATATTTTCAAAATTTGTCACATTTTCATTTTTTTAATATTATTTTCTCTCTGCTAGTTGATATACACAGTATGGGCACCAGGGGAAAAAAAAAACGCACACAGTTCGGAAGGAAATTCAAGGCAGAGAGGGAAAGCCGTTGCAAAGGCTCTGAGGTGGCAGCGCGCTATACAACTTGAAGGAACAGCAAGGCCGTCAGGCTGTAGGGGAGTGATTGATGGGGGAAGTAGCAGGGCTCAGAACAGTAACAAAGGGAACCTGATAGGGTGGGCCTTTGTAGGCCATGGGAAGGTTTAAGGCAAAGGAGTGAATGATGAAGCTAGCTTTTGTTGTTACTGTTGCTGTTGTTTTTGAGACTAGTCTCGCTCTGTCCCCCAGACTGGAGTGCAATGGTATGATCTCAGCTCACTGCAACCTCCGCCTCCTGGGTTCCAGCGATTCTCCTGTGTCAGCCTCCCGAGTAGCTCAGATTACAGGCCTGCACCACCACGCCCGGCTAGTTTTGTATTTTTAGTAGAGGCGAGGTTTCACCATGTTGGCCATTCTGGTCTCAACCTCATGACCTCAGGTAATCCGCCTGCCTTGTCTTCCCAAAGTGCTGGGATTACAGGTTTGAGCCACCGCACCCAGCCCCCTAGCTCATTTTTTAAAGGGTAATGCCAGCTGCTGTACTGAGACTAGACCACAGGGCTGAGTGGGAACAAGGGAAGAGGCTGGAAGACCAGAAGGCCCCTGCTATAGTCTGAAAGAGGCAGCACTGGCTGGAACCAAGGTAACAGTGCTGTAGCGGTGAGGAGTGGCTGGATTCTGGATACATGTTGCAGATTAACACCTACAGCTTTTGCCGACAGCTGGGACGTGGGGTGTGAGAGTGAGCGGAGAGTCAGGGATGACTTTAAAGTTTTTGGCCTGAGCAATTGGAAGACTGAGTGCGCTGTTTACTGAGATAGGAAAGCCTGTGGGAGGAGCAGGCTTGGGGATGAAAATCTGTCCAGTAGGCAGTTGTGCGTGGGAGTCTGAAGTCTGGAGGCAGGACTGGGCTGGAAATCTAATTTGTGGAGCTGTTAATGGCGCCTATAATGGTATTTAAAGGCTGGTGAAACCATGTAGGGAAGGAGGGTGAAAGAGAAGATATCCAAAGACAACTGTGCCCCGGGCACACCCTCATCCTGAAGGCAGGAAGCTGAGAACAGGGAAAGTTAGAGATGTCCAAAGCCAGAGACAGGGGCTGAAGCTGCAGGACTCAGTGCTACAGGAAGTCCTGTAGGGTGAGGGGCTCTAGGGTTTTCTTCCAGGTTGCCTAGGAGAGGATGAGTTTCTCTCACTTATCCTGACCTGTCTGAACCCCTTGAGAGAAGGGCCTGGCCCCAGGGCACATAGTCAGTTAAGGCCTCAGAGTGTTCAGGCTCCCAGGGCCAAAGGAGGCCATGAGCCTTGGCTACTTCCTCTCCTTTTCTTTTCTTTTTTGAGACGGAGTCTTGCTCTGTCACCCAGGCTGGAGTGCAGTGGTGCAATCTCTGCTCACTGCAAGCTCCACCTCCCGGGTTCACGCCATTCTCCTGCCTCAGCCTCCCGAGTAGCTGGGACTACAGGCACCTGCCACCGCACCCAGCTAATCTTTTGTATTTTTAGTAGAGATGGGGTTTCACCGTGTTAGCCAGGATGGTCTCGATCTCCTGACCTCATGATCTGCCCGCCTCGGCCTCCCAAAGTGCTGGGATTACAGGAGTGAGCCACCGCGCCCGGCCGACTTCCTCTCCTTTTCTTATCCCCCAATATGGGTGCTCTAGAGGGCTCCGCAATCTCTCCCTGGGCCACCTCGTCCACCTGCAAGCCTTCAACTGCCACTGCTGGGCTTCAGTGCTCTGTCTCCAGCCCAGATCCCTGGCTTTCCCTAGATGTCCCACGAGCCTCTCCTACTCAGCATGTTCAATACCGCAGCCATCTTTCCCCCGCAAACTGTCTTCTGATGTCTCTGCCACCTACCCAGTTCCTAGACAGAGCCCTGGACAACACCTTCCACCCTTCCCACAGCCGACTCAAGGTCCATAACTTCCAGCTTCTGAATCTCTTATCTGGTCATCCTCTCTTCTCCCCCACCCTTCACCAGCTGTGTCAATTCAGCTGCCTCTCCTTGCTCTCCTGCCTCCAGTCCCTCCCCTTCCAATTCAGCCTCCACACAGGGCTAAAGGGCCTCTTCTCAGGCACAAATCTGGCTCTGCCATGACTTGGCTTAACACTCTTCTCTGACTTTCTAAGAGATGAAAGTCCCCGCTGCCCACCCTGGCCCTAAGCACCTCCAGCCACTCCCTACCTTGCCTGCTCCCTGTCACGCGCATCCGTGTGAAGAGAGTCCACCAACATGCTTTGTGTGAGCAACAAGGCTGTTTATTTCACCTGGGTGCAGGCGGGCTCAGTCCGAAAAAGGAGTCAGCAAAGGGTGCTGGGATTATCATTAGTTCTTATAGGTTTTGGGATAGGCGGTGGAGTTAGGAGCAGTGTTTTGCGGGCAAGGGGTGAATCTCACAAAGTACATTCTCAAGGGTGGGGAGAATTACAAAGAAACTTCTTAAGGGTGGGGGGAGATTACAAAGTACATTGATCAGTTAGGGTGGGGCAGAAACAAATCACGATGGAATGTCATCAGTTAAGGCTATTTTCACTTCTTCTGTGGATCTTCAATTGCTTCAGGCCATCTGGATGTATACATGCAGGTCACAGGGGATATGATGGCTTAGCTTGGGCTCAGAGGCCTGACACTCCTCTGCAGCCACTCTGAGCAGCCTGGGGCTCCAATCTCTGTGCCTTTGTTCCTGCCATTCCCTCTAGCTGGAGCCCCCCTAACCCCTGTCCCTGGTGAACAAGACTGCCTGGTATGGGTGAGAAGTTCCTTGAGAGCTGGGGTAGGCACTGGGTTGAGGGTCAGGCGTGGTGGGGAAAGAGGGAGTCCTTCCAGCGGGGCTCTGGAGGGCCTCTAAAATGAGGCATCCCCTTCCCACATCAGAGACTTCTGCAGGGCGAAAGGGTTGGATGGGCCCAGGAGGGCACCTTCAACTGGCCTTCCTCCGCCCAAAAACTGAGTCTCCCTTTCCCTTAGAAGTTTATCATCTCATATCCCCTGGCACAGGACCAGAGGCCAAGGCAGGGCTTGGGGAATGGCGAGGGTTGGGGAGGGCAAGAACACAGTTTTGCTAGCCCTGACGGGGCTCTTCCAGGGGCCTGTTGCAACCCCCATCTAAGGACTTCTCCTCATTGGCCAGTGAGGGTTTGGTTGGGTCCCTGGAGGACTCAAAGGATCAACCCAAAATTTGGGGCCTCATCTGTGTGAGCTTTGTATGTCTTCTCCCTCAGCCCCTGACCCAGCCTCGGAGCCTCCACCCTCGACTCACCAGGCCCTCCCACTAGGCCCAGAGCATCCTCTCCAGAACCCCCACCTTGGCTCCTGACCGCAGAGACAAGGAGAGACCATGAGCTCTGGTAAACTCCACCCAGCCTTGCTCTGTCACAAGGGAATGCCAGTGTCAAGAATTAAACTTGAAGCATCTCAGTTCCTCTCAGCCCCATTATCCCATTTTTGAGGTATGAAAACTGAGGCCCACAGAAGTTAAATCACTTGCCCAAAGTTCAGGGTGCACACTTGAGTGTTTTTTTTTTTTTTTTTTTTGAGACGGAGTCTCGCTGTCGCCCAGGCTGGAGTGCAGTGGCGCAATCTCGGCTCACTGCAGGCTCCGCCCCCTGGGGTTCACGCCATTCTCCTGCCTCAGCCTCCCGAGTAGCTGGGACTACAGGCGCCCGCCACCTCGCCCGGCTAATTTTTTGTATTTTTAGTAGAGATGGGGTTTCACCGTGTTAGCCAGGATGGTCTCGATCTCCTGACCTCGTGATCCGCCCGCCTCGGCCTCCCAAAGTGCTGGGATTACAGGCGTGAGCCACCGCGCCCGGCCTTTTTTTTTTATCTGTAGTTTTGTTTTGTGTGTTTGTTATTTTAACTATACCTATATGTTATATATACTCATGTTTACAAAATATACTTAATACACAGTTTAAAAACCAAACAAGGCTGGGTGTGGTAGCTCAGGCCTGTAATCCCAGCACTTTGGGAGGCGGAGGCAGGTGGATCACCTGAGATCAGGAGTTGAAGATCAGCCTGGCCAACATGGCGAAACCCCGTCTCTACTAAAAATACAAAAATTAACCGGGCGTGGTAACGCATGCCTGTAGTCCTAGCTACTCAGGAGGCTGAGGCAGAAGATTCACTTGAACCCGGAAGGCAGAGGTTTCAGTGAGCCGAGATCGCGCCACTGCACTCCAGTCTGGGCAACAGAGCAAGACTCCGTCTCAAAAAATAAAAAAATAAAATAAAAACCAAACAAAAACTAGCCAAGGTCACCTCCTTGGTTTCTGGGTGAAAGCACAGGCTTCACGGGCACATTGACAAGGGCTGTAATTCCTGCTCTCTGCCCCTTACTGAGCCAATCTCCCCAGCCTCAGTTTCCCTGTGTGTCAGATGTGCATGACGACATGCAGCTCCCTTTAGAGGGTGCTTAGTGACAGCAGCACACACACTCCCATGTGCCAGGCATCGCCCGTGTCATCCTCCCAGTGGCGCTGTGAAGTGGGAGCTATTATCTTACCTAAGGTCATACGGCTAGTGAGTGGCAGGGCCGGTATTTGGATCCGGGCGGGCTGGCTTCGTTGTCTGTGCTAAGTGCCAGAGTATGAGCCCCTGCCATGTACAGGAGGGCCGGGGTCACCCTGAGTTTCACTGTTCCTACTGTAAGATCAGCACAGAGGTGGGTGTGGAGCAGCTGTGCTGTTCGGAGTGACTCCGGCCTCTTCACACTGAGGGTGCCAGCACCAGGCCAGGCCTGAGGTGGCTGCTCCCACCTCTTCCTAGGCGGCAGGACCCCATCTGAGGGAGGAAACCTAAGACTAGCCAGACCAGGGTGCTGCCAGTATCCCTTGGAATCCCTGGAGCTGAATGGGAGAGCAGGCCAGGCAAGGGTAAGGGGCTCCTCTCAAAGCTGGGACTACCAGGCTGAGGACCATACATTCATCTGCAGAGCCCTGGATGGGCCTGGCCTGGGAGTGGGGCCATGACGTGAGGCTTCAAAGTGCTGTAAGAAGAGCTGGGGGGCTCCCCAGATACCAAAAGATCCAAGCCTTCTGTATGGGGAAACTGAGGCCCAGAGAGTGGAGGGGTCCTATCCAGGTCACACAACCAGTCCATGCTGGGACTGGGAGAATGGGAGAGGGTCCAGTGCTCCCATGGCTCATGTCCCAGCCTGGGTCCCACAGCTGCACAGATCCATCTACAGGAGGAACCATGCATATGCATGCATGTGCGTGCATGTGTGTGCGTGCATGCACGTGTGTGCGTGACAGCAAAACCAAGAGCAGGGACCCACAAGGTGCTATGATGCCCACCCCACCTTATCCTAATGCCTCCCTCCCTCCCTTCCTTCCTCCCTCTCTCCTTCTTTCCTTCCTTCCTTCCTGAAGAAGGACCTGCCTTTCTCCTCCAGAGACTTCCCTCACCTCTGCCCCAACCCTTGTTTTCATCTCTCCCCAAGGCCTGGCCTCAGTCCACCCACCATCCCCTTTACTTCTCTGACATCTCCCCTTTCCTCTTTCCATTCCAGCACCATGGCCCCTCCAGCTCCCCCTCAGGGAACTGGCTGTTCCTTCAGCCTGGCATGTTCTTTCCCCAAGTGTCCACATGGCTCACTCCCTCACTCCTTCAGGTCTTTACTCAAAGTCACCTTCTCAGTGAGGCCATCTTCTCTTCACACCTCCCCACACTTTCTAGACACTGTGCCTGCTTTTTCTCCATAGCATCTATAACATGCCATATATTTTACATAGAACGCTAGCTCCATGAGGACAAGGACTTTTATCTTCCTTACGCCTGTGTCCTCAATGCTGGAATGGTGCCTGGCACGTTGGGGGCTCTCACCTGATACCTGCCAAGAGAATGGAAAGGATTGCTCTGCGACTGGTCAGGGCTCATCTGAGCCTGACGTTGGGACCAGAAACTGCAAGGTGTTAGGGGCAACAGGCCTAGTGCAAGCCTGTGGCAGAGCAGTGGACAGCAGGTGGGGGCTCTGTATGAACCCATGGCCGCCCTGCCTCCAGGGCCCCTCCCAGGGACAGGAGGATGCCAGAGGGCTGAAGTGCTCAGGGAGGGACAGAGGAGGGTAGGAACCAGAACCCTGGGCCCCGTATATGCCTCTCTAAGCTGTAACTGAGGCCTTGGGACCATGCTGCTCTGGAATGCCAACAATGAGAAAGGCTCACAGGGCCACTGAGCGTGAGAGGGGGGAAGGGGCTTGTAGAAGGTTACCGAGGAAGGCTACTGTACAGCTGGGGACTTCCAGCTGTGGGCCCTTCCCTGGTCACTCCCAGCCCTGGTTCCCCTGGCTCGGCTCCTCCCACCGTGGGACGTCAGATACAGTCATCCTCCCTGGATTCCCTGTGATCTCACCAGGCTCCCACCTGTTACCCCTCCCCTCCCCCTGGCGCCCCCCACTCCGCCCCCCAACTCCGCCGTCCTCACACTACAGCTATTCCTTCTTTGTGTTTTTAGATATACCTACATACTGGCCAGGCGGTGGAGCTCACGCCTGTAATCCTAACAATTTAGGAGGCGGAAGCGGGTGGATCACCTGAGGTCAAGAGTTTGAGACCAGCCTGGCCAACATGGCGAAACCTGGTCTCTACTAAAAATACAAAAATTAGCCAGGCGTGGTGGCGCATGCCTGTAATCCCAGCTACTTGAAAGGCTGAGGAAGGAGAATTGCTTGAACCCAGGAGGCAGAGGTTTCAGTGAGCCGAGATCACACCACTGGCACTCCAGCCTGCATGACGGGAGAGAGACTCCATAAAAAAAAAAAATATATATATATATATATATATATATAATATATATATCTCATACAAACAATATGTATCACATTTATATGTTATCAAGCACGATCATGTAATAAACCCGCAAATGTCCAAACCCAAAACTAGAAAATTATTAATAGTTTGTACTACTCCTGTGTTCCTCTCCATCTGCCTGTAGGAATTATTTCTTTTTCTAAAATAGTTTTCTTACATACATATATATAGCAAAGAATGTATTTTTGCTTATTTTTCAGCTACAAGACTGGTGTCACACTGTATATAGTCTACTGTATTACTTTGTTGTTGTTTTTTTTGAGGCACAGTCTCACTCTGTCACCCAAGCTGGAGTGCGGTGGCACAATCTCCATTCACTGCAACCTCCGCCTCCCGTGTTCAAGGGATTCTCTCCTGCCTCAGCCTTTTGAGTAGCTGGGATTACAGGTGCCCAACTACACCAGGCTCTTTTTTTTTTTTTTTTTTTGAGACCGAGTCTAGCTCTGTCGCCAGGCTGGAATGCAGTGATGCAATCTTGGCTCACTGCAACCTCCGCCTCCCAGGTTCAAGCAGTTCTCCCGCCTCAACCTCCCGAGTAGCTGGGACTACAGGTGTGTGCCACAACACCCAGATAATTTTTGTATTTTTAGTAGAGACAGGGTTTCACCATGTTGGCCAGGATGGTCTCGATCTCTTGACCTCGTGATCCACCCGCCTTGGCCTCCCAAAGTGCTGGGATTACAGGCGTGAACCACCACGCCCGGCTACTGTATTACCTTTTATGCCTCCAGAATTTTTCTGTGTTGTTGCAGGTGTCTGTTGTGCCTTAATTTTTGCTATTGTAGAGGGTTCTATTATGTGCAATTGCGCAGCAGTGTATGTATCTGTTCCCCTGTGGATGGACATTTGGGTTGTGTCCAGTGTCTCTTGACCACCTACCTTGTGCCATGCCCCCAACCCTCCTGTCATTACTCCACAATCTAGCTACATCCACAAAGCCATGACTTCACGAAACCCTGTCTTCCGCTTCTGAGCTCCAGACCATATAAAAGGCATAACTGTGTTTATTGAGCACTTACTCTGAGCCAGAAATGATTCTCAACATTTTACATGTGGTAGCGCATTTAATATTCACAGCAACACAAATGGGAAGTAATATTCTTATCGCCATTTTACAAATAAGAAGACCAAGGCCCAGAAGGGTTGAATATCTTGCTCAAGATCACACACATTTTGCCACCCCCCATTCCAAGTCCCATAGGCAACTCAGACTCAGCATGTCCATGATGTAACTTATCTTCCTCTCCAAACCATTTCCTCACTTGTGCCCTACTCTCAGTGGGGACATCTCCAATCCCCAGGCCCAAGCTGGAAACCGGAAGCCATTTCTGACTCCTCCCTCTCCCTCACCCACTCCATCCAAATGGAACCCAAGTCCTGTACATTGTACTTCTCCGGTATTGATCAATCCCCGCTCTCGTCTCCACGCCCACGGTGCTGACCCATTGTTAGGTGCCCGGCTGCTGCTCCTGGGTCATCACTTTCGCAGGCCCATCTCCACCATTTCCAGCATCCTACACACTGCGGCTCAGGTGTGCTTTCTAAACCTCACCTCACCGTGTCCCCACCTCCAGAACGAAGCCCAGCCTCCTCTGCCCATCCCCTCAAACTGTAAAGTGCAGCTCCCACCCCCAAAAAGGACACCCCCCACCACCATACCCTGCTCTGTCTCCTCCTCTGGGAAGCCTCCTGGCCTTGGCCCAGAGGCTGGATGTGAGCTCCCCTACCCCGAGCCCCACAGCCTCCAAGCCTCCCACTCTGCACTCACCTTCTTCCATATAATTACCTGTCCCCCATTAAACTGCAACCCTCAAAGGCAGAGCCCAGCGCATCCACTGCGCATCCCCAGTGTCCAGGCAGGGCCTGCACACAGTAGATGCACAATAATTATTGAAAGGCAAAATGCATGAGCAAGGACAGGAACCATGGGTGATGCTGCCTTCTGAGCCCCAGGCAACAGAGTGATTCCTGCCTGGCCCCAGGGTCAGTGGATCCTGGCCCCTCACCCCACCCAACCTCTGCACCTGCTTCCCTGGAGCCCTTGGAGCCCTATGAGGCCTCTTCCTGTGTCTTCATGTGGTCGAAGGATTTCCCTCTTTGCATCTTCCTTTCCTATTCCTTCATGTGGGAGCACTCTGGCACCAGGAAGAAGAAAGAGGAGCCCAACCCCTTAACAGCCTTCAATCTATAACAAGCATTCTCAAGGGAATTAAAACTGATTCTTAAAAGGGGAGGTGAAAAAAAAATCTTACTCTTTTTTATGTATAAAGCACAGAACATATACAGAACATAAACAGATATATAGTACATCTGTGGTATTAAAATTTCATGTGATTAAGAAAAAAAAAATCTAGAAGAATACTAGGGAAGGAACTAATGAAAAAAAGGCTAAAAAATTCTGATCTACATTCTTGGGCCTTGCCTTGTCTGGTCCAAGAACCGGCCAGAACTCAGGGAAGGGAAGAACCAGGGGAGAGTCTAGAGTCCAATCTCAGGATCCCCTCAAAGTATTTCCAAAGCCGGCCCCCAACCAGTCAGCTACGGTCTGTTCCCCAAAACCACCCTTCCTTCCCCCGTGCCTGAAAATCCCTCATTCTGTCGTTCTTTCATCTCACCCTGTTCCTACTGAGGGCGCAGGTCATCTCTTCCCCATTCTCCCCCTGGGGCACCCCAGTTCCCAGGGCATGAAAGACTTGAGGTGCCTCACCTCTACACCTTGGGCTAAGACATAGCCCTGGAGCTCCTGTAAGAACCCAGGAGGGAAGCCCAACCACAGGAGGCCCCCAGGAAGTGGGGGTACTGCTGTCGGACAAGCCTTGCTTTATTGGGGAATGGATGGGATCACAAATAATCTCTGCTTAGAAGTGCTCTAGGGCCATGGATTCATGTAAGGGTGGGGCAGGGTGGACTGAAGATCTGTTGGCAGGGCTCACAGAGACGGGGGTGAGGGGAGAGATCGTGGGTTCATGAGATCCCATCTTGGGCAATACGGTTATCCCGTGGTCTTCATACGCCACAGAATCCTCCAATTTCAGGGGCTCCCGTGGGATGGTGGAGCCAATGAAGACCAGGTAGATGATGCCACCTAGATAGGCACCCAGAAGTGGTGCCACCACTGGCACCCACCACCAGTTCTCCCCATTGCTGCAGGCAAGAGGCAGAGGCCTGCTGAGGGGGCTGATGCCCAGGACAGCACCCTCATCCACCTCGGGCCAAGACAGGTTGAGCAGAGGAGTCATCCCCAGGCTACCCCAGGAAACACCCCCAACCCAGGGCCCTGGTCAGCCTCAGCCCAATTCAGGGACAGCGTTGACACTCAGTGCAGGTGCAGGATCTGTATCTGTACTGGCCTGGGGAAATGTTGGGACTCACTCCTGCTCCCCAGGCTACCTGGGGGCTCAGCAGGACCCTCCTGTGCTGCCCCTCACATCACCCCCCACCCCTCAACACACAGGGGACCCACAGAAAAACTCAAAGGAATGGGCCTGGGCAGGGGCAGTACCTGAAGACCTGTTTGCCCCAACCAGCAATGAAGGTGAAGATGCGGGGGGGCAGGTCCCGGGACGGGTTGATGGCATATCCTGTGTTCATGCCAAGGGACACCCCGATGATGACCACGAGGATGCCTATCACCAGCGCCTCTGTTCCTGGCAGTGCTGGGTTGTTCTCCTGGTCCGTGATGGCGAAGAGACACAGCTGGAGCATCCCGGTCAGCCACGCCTGAGGAGCAGATGCTGTGGCAGCTCACCTGGGCCCCTCCCCAAGCCACAGGACCTCGGCAGTGCCCCAGACCCAAGCCCACCAGCAGAGACACGTCTCGGTACAGTCTCCATCCAGAGTTCTTGTCCTGTCTATCCGGAGGGACTCCCTGCTGGCTCCGTCCTGAGGGGTGGAGGGCAGGGGGAGGGATACTCATCCTCGACCACTGACCTCATTCAGGAAGCCCCGCCACAATGTCATGTGATCAGGAAGGTAGGTGGCAAAAATGCCAGCTGTAGCGACGGGACCGGTCACCATCAGCTGTCCACCCGAAAAGTGGAGAATGGCCGCTGCGGAGACACAGACTGTCATGCGAACCTGCTCCCAACTAAGCCCCACCGGGGTCCCAGAAATGAGGTTATAGGTTAGAGGGTGGGGGATCTCCAAGGCTTTTTTCTCCCAGCTATTTTTTACAAATCAGGACACTGAGGTCCAATCTGCCCATATTTCATAGGAGGCGGCTGAGGCCAGAGGCGGACACCCGGGCAGGATACTCACTGTAGAAGAGACTGTAGATGGTGGCAGCCGCCAGGAAGGAGCCCAGGAACTGCCCCAGCACATAGACCGGAAACTTCCTCCAGGGCACGCGGCCCAGCGCACAGTTAGCAAAGGTCACAGCTGCGTTCATGTGGGCTCCTGCGGGCAGCAGGCAAGTGTGTCAGGGAGTGAGAGCAGAACAAACAACAGTGACAAACAGTATGAGAACAACGATGGCTAGTGTGTATGACAGCATGCTCCGTGACAGAGCTCTCTCCTTGAGCCCTCACAACCACCCCGTGAGGCAGGGGCCACCATCTTCGTTTCACTCTCAAGGAAACTGAGGAACACAGAGGCGATGGCTTGCCTAAGATGACCCAGCCAGTGAAAATGGTAGGTCGGGGGGCCCAGGAAGAATCTGGGGCAAACACGTCATAGGCACGGGGTTCAGAGGAGACTTCCTCCCGCCCGGTGGCCAGGCTGAGGCACTGGCTGTGCTGGCAAAGAAGCTGGCTGAGGCGGGCAGGAAAGAGCCTGTTGGGGACACCTGGTCTTGCCCGGTCCGGCAGGGCCTGGGCTCACTCACCAGAGATGCGGCCTGCCACGTGCACTCCCATGGTGACTCCGAAGCCAAAACCCAAGTTGACACCAAGGTAGCTCCCATATTTTTTATTTAGAACCATATGGGCCACGGAACCAAGGCCGAATACCTACAAGGGAGGGCCTCTAAGGGGGCTGCCTGCCCAGAAGCCCCAACCTCAGAGGAGGGCTCAGAGCTCAGTTCTAGCTCCTCACCCCCATGCCCTGGGCCTCCCTGGCATTGCCTCGAAGACCCGCTGCCACGCCCTCTTCCTCCAGAGCCTTCCCTCCTCACTGCCTCCTCTCCTTGCCCCTGCTGAGGCCTCTCAGACCTGAGCCACTGAGAGCCGGGTGGAGCGGCAGAGTTAGAAGCTCTTACGACAAACATCCAAGCACCTCAGCCCCAGGCCCACCTGAAGTTTTGGGGTGAGGCAGGGCTGCGAGGAGGGGATGGCTGGCATGCATTGCACCCCCTCAGAGTCTCTCACACTTCAGGCTGGCCTGAAGGAAGTTTCTTCAAGGGACCTCCAAATCCATCCGTGCCTGACTCTGCCAGGAACCCCTCCCTGCACAAACACACACACACACACTCCACCGCAATTCCCACAATGCTGGAACAGTGGGGCCCTAACTGTCTTGCCCTCAGCTTCATTTCCACTGACCTCAGGCGGCATTCCCAAGCTGCTGCTTCTTGCCCATCCCTCACGGCTCCTCAGATAATGACGCCTTCACAGGGGAAGGGGCCTACCTTCAGGCCCATTAGCCTCAGTCCAGAGCCACTGTTCCCTTCAGCCCTGGCTCCTGTGCTATCCTCTCCCTCTGCAGAGGCCTCCGTCTCCCCCATACCTTCCATCCTCCCACTGATCGGCTCCCACACACTGGAGTCTCATCCTTCCCAGCAAACTGTCCCACCCCTGCCCAGCGTCCTTCTCCAGCTGTGGGTTCCTGGTTGCCTCCTCCCTGCTTCAGTCAGGCCGCAGGAGAGAACACGCTGGCCAGCTGCTTCACCCCTTCCCTCGCACCCCCTCCTCAATCTGGCTTCCACTTCCACATGTCACAGACACCAAAGCTCTCTCCAAGGGCTCCAGCAACCTCCTGATTTTCCAAAGGTCTTTTCAGGCATGGTTTTACCACGTAGACAGTCTCAGCTATGCCTGATGCGCTAAAATTCCCGTCATCTCCGCGGGGGAGCCGGATCCCTATTTGCAAATCCCCACTGGAACTCTCCTGGTGTTCCGCGGGCGTCTCAGGCTCTGTTGAAGGTTCGCCATCTCACAGCACACCTGCTCCTCACTCTATGTTCCCCATCCCCGTTGGCCGAGCCAGAAACAGATGTTGCAAATGAGAGCTTCCTCGCCATCCTCCCCAGCATCCAATCAGCTCTGCTTACATTCTCCCCAAACCTCACCCAGCCTCCTCCTTGCAGCCAGAGTGATCTTCCTAACAAAAACCCCATCGCGTCTTCCCCAGACTCACTCACTGGCTCTCCTCCACTTCTAGGATAAAGTCCAAACTCAGTAGGCCACCATTGAAGACCCTGCATAATTTCATCCTTTCTGCCTGTTTCATATCTGCCCCAATACTCTTTGTATTCAGCAATAGTATTACTACTAAATAATAATAACCATTTATTGAGCACTGCCTACATGCCAGCGAGTTATACTGATCACCTCCTTTAACCCTTAACACCAATCTTATGACTTAAGCACTATTATTCTCCCCCACTTGACAGAGGGTAATCTGAAGCTTAGAGAACTTGAATGGCTTGTCCAAGGTCACACAGCCTGTACCTGGTGAGCCAGGATTAAATCCAGGCAGTTACCTGTGCCAGATGGCCTCAAACCAAACAACTGTGCTGCTCCATGCATGCCTTGCTTTCTTGTGCCACTGTTTTGTTTGTTTGTTTGATGTTTGAGACAGGGTTTTGCTCTATCACCCAGGCTGGAGTGCAGTGCCATGATCAGGGCTCATTGCAGCCTCCATCTCCTGGGCCCAAGTGATCCTCCCACCTCAGCCTCCCAAGTAGTTGGGACTATGGGCATGTGCCTCGGCACCCAGCCAATTTTTTTTTTTTTTTTTTTTTTGAGACAGAGTCTTGCTCTGTCGCCCAAGCTGGAGTGCAATGGCACGATCTCTACTCACTGCAACCTCCAACTCCCGGGTTCAAGTGATTCTCCTGCCTTAGCCTCCCGAGTAGTTGAGATAATAGGTGCACGCCACCATGCCCAACTATTTTTTTGTATTTTTAGTAGAGACAGGGTTTCACGATGTTGGCCAGACTGGTCTCAAACACCTGACCTCAGATGATCCGCCTGCCTTGGCCTCCCAAAGTCCTGGGATTACAGGCATGAGCCACTGCGCCCTGTCCCAGCTAATTTTTTCAATTTATTTTGTGTAGAGATGAGGTTTCACTATGTTGCCCGGGCTGGTCTCGAGCTCCTGGCCTTAAGCAGTCCTCTCACCTCAGCCTCCCAGAGTGCTGGGATTACAGGTGTGAGCCACCATGCCTGGCCAGAATATCCTAATAATTTTACATTGACTGCATCTTGAAATAGGATTTTGGATATATGGGTTAATTATTAAAATTAATTTCACCTGTTGCTTTTTACCTTTTTAATGTGGATACTAGAAAAATTTAAATTATACAGATGGCTTGTATTGTATTTCCCCTGGAGAACTCTGTTCTAGAGTTGATAAAAGAGAAAACCTGGAGAATTGTAGACATGAGGGCCGAAGTCAAAGCCGTCAGAGGAGAAGGCCCCAGGAGAGGGTACAGGGTAAGAAGGCAGACCAGGCCGGATGCGGTGGCTCATGCCTGTAATCCCAGCACTTTGGGAGGCCGAGGTGGATGGATCACTTTAGGTCAGGAGTTCAAGACCAGCATGACAAAACCCCGTCTCTACTAATAATACAAAAATTAGCCAGGTGTGGTGGCGCTTGCCTGTAATCCCAGCTACTCAGGAGGCTGAGACAGGAGAATTGCTTGAACCCAAGACGCGGAGCTTGCAGTGAGCCGAGATCACGCCACTACACTCCAGCCTGGGTGACAGAGCAAGACTCCGTCTCAAAAAAAAAAAAAAAAAAAGAAAAGAAAGAAAAAGAGTTGAAAGACACCAGTGTAGACTCCTCTTCGAGAACTCGCCTGAGGAGCGGGGGAGAGAGAACATGATCCCGCGAAGGGGCTGACAGGGTGAAGGGAGGGATGTTTCATTTTGTGTTGTTTTCAGTGGAGAAACTTCAGTATATTTATAGGCTGAGAGAGGGACAGGCTGAAGATAAAGGACAGAGAAAAAGGACAGAGTAAAGTACCTGAATAGGCTGGACAGCTGGATTGGTGCAGAAGTGGAGGGGTCCTCCAGGAAGGAGAGGACCCCGCCCCAGCCAAGGGGTGATATGTGGATACATGGGTGGTTAATGGGTCTGGTGGTGAGAGGGACAAGAGGGTGAGCTGAACACAGGAAGTGTTGATTATTTTACCTGTCAAGCAGCAGATCAAGCCATTTGCTGATTTAAAAAAAAAAAAAAGTCAGAGTACAGAGCAGCTTTGGGGAAGTCTGAGAAAATGTGAAATAGCCCAGATATGGTGGGGGAGAGGCAGCTGAGCAGGGCCCACTGGGTCCCTCAGAAGCCCCAGGACAGAAGCAGGGGAGCCCAGAGCTAGGCTGGCTTCAGATCCAGGATAAGATACAGCAGGAGAGGACAGGAACAGATGGGGGTGCAGGGGGGAGTGAGGCCAGGACAGGTTGACAGGCTGGCAGGGTCAAGAGGTAGAGGGACTGGAGCAGGCATGGAGGGTCTGAAAACAGAGGGGCCCCCATGGCCTTTCCCCCATTCCAATACCATGTGCTAAAAATACTGGATGAGCATAGGCTGGGCGCGGTGGCTCACGCCTGTAATCCCAGCACTTTGGGAGGCCGAGGCAGGCCGATCATGAGGTCAGGAGTTCGAGACCTGCCTGGCCGACATGGTGAAACCCCGTCTCTACTAAAGATACAAAAAATTAGCCAGGCGTGGTGGCACATGCCTGTAATCCCAGCTACTCAGGAGGCTGAGGCAGGAGAATCACTTGAACCTGGGAGGCAGAGTAGTGAACTGAGATCACACCACTGCACTCCAGCCTGGGCAACAGGGTGAGACTCGGTCTCAAAATAAATAAATAAAATAAAATACTGGGTGAGTGAATGAACCCCACATGATTCCCTGTGTCAGGGTTGCCAACTGGCAACTCATGCACGTAATTCATCCAGCGCACAGGTTTTGTTTAGATAACTTGGTTTTGAAGAACAGAAGTTTCCTTCTCTCTTGAAAAATGAGCAGCTCAGGCAACACTGGCCTGCATTCCACTCTCCATGGCAACAGTCAGCTGGAGTGGCGGCAGCTCTACAGCCTTGCACAGATTGGCACTCTGCAGCCAGCCAAAGTCCCCACCGCCCTGAGTTGCCGCTCTCTTGGCCCCCGTAGCATGTGATCTACAACCCTTGCCCCGTGTCTCACGTGTATGGCTGGTTTTCCAGGGCCCGGATGGCTCCAGCCCCTCCTCTCCCTGATCAGTGAATGTGGCCCAGCCCATCCAACTCTCCCCCACAGCCAGGAGGCCAGCTCCAAGGGCAACACCCCTGGAAGCTGCAACATGGATCAGTCCACTTCCCTCATCCTGGCTGCAATAAATGGGGCCAAGGTCACACTAGCTTTTTTGGCAAAACCTTCACCCTGGTGACTCACTGAGATTCCTGTATATATATATAAAAACAAAAACAAAAAGCCCTCACTTCTTGGCACAGCCTGGCAACTAAAAATAACAACAACACAATGTCCGATATAGGCTTACACCTCACAAAGTTCTTTTACAAGTGCTACTGTCTTCAATCCTCACAGCAAATCTGCACGGCAAGAATTTTTCTCCCACTCTATAAATGGGGAAACTGAGGCCGAGAGAGGCATCTTGAACTACCTGAAAGTGAGGACCTTACCCTGGCTGGGGGAGCATTAACAAGCCAGAGTCTTCAAAAGCTGGCAATATTTAAGCTAAGGGACAGAGCATAGAGGTTAACGGTCAAGACTGTGATACTGGGCCGGGCACGGTGACTCATGCCTGTAATCCCAGCACTTTGGGAGGCCGAGGTGGGAGGATCACTTGAAGTCAGGAGTTCAAGACCAGCCTTGACAACATGGTGAAACCTCGTCTTTCCTAAAAATACAAAAATTGGCTGGGCATGGTGGCATGCACCTGTAATTCCAGCTACTCCAGAGGCTGAGGCGCAAGAATCGCTTGAACCCGGGAGATGGAGGTTGCAGTGAGCTGAGATCGCGCCACTGTGACAAAGCAAGACTGTATCTCAAAAAAAAAAAAAAAGACTGTGATATTAGACTGCACTGGATTTAATCTTGACTTACAGTGTGACCTTGGGCAAAAGGCTTAGTCTCAAGGAGCCTCAGTTTTCCCATCTGTGAAACTGGGATAATAATAGTACCTACTTCACAGGGCTATTGCGAGGATTTGGGAAGATGCTGCACGTAAGGGGCTTAGCATCACAGAGCCCGGGATGCATTAGGTGCTCAATGAAAATCTCAACAAAAGGAAGAGGAACACAGATGTGGGCAGGTATCAAGCATGTGGGCGGTGCCTATTTCCCTAACAGCTCTCAGAGGACGCACCCTCCTGCCTCCGAGGTTCCAAGGGTTAACAGCCCTCATGGGGCTGGAATGTCTTGTGATAAGATCATTACTTTGCCCTGGATTAAGGAGGGACAGGATCCAACTGCTGTCCTCACAGCTCAGGAGCCAAAGCAGGTGGGGAGGTAGGAGAGGAGCAAAGGAGGGCTAGAGGCAGAGAGGAGAGAGCAGCTAGAGCACCCGTCCTAATAACAAGGGACCAATACATGGGTACCACAGGTGTACTGGGTGCTGAGACTTGGCCTTCTTCACACAAGTCCTCCAGTTTGATGTTAGTGCTCCTGTTAACCAATAAGGAAGCTACAGTTGTGGGCCGGGCGAGGTGACTCACGCCAGCAATCCCAGCACTTTGGGAGGCTGAGGCAGGCAGATCACCTGAATTCGGGAGTTCGAAACCAGCCTGGCCAACATGGTGAAACCCCATCTCTACTAAAAATAGAAAAATTAGCTGAGCACACTGGCACGCGCCTGTAGTCCCAGCTACTCAGGAGGCTGAGGCAAGAGAGTCACTTGAGTATGGGAGGTGGGGGCTGCAGTGAGCTGAGATCACACCACTGCACTCCATCCTAGGAGACAGAGTGAGACCCTGTCTCAAAAATAAGAAAGCTAAATTTGTGAACAGTTAAGATACTTGTGGATAGTCGCACAGCTAGAAGATAACAGAGCTAGGATTCAAACACAGCTCCAAAGCCCACGAAAGCCTAATTCTACATGATATAAGTGAGAAGTCAGGCTTTAAGCCATGCAGAGACATGCCCAAGGCCAACTGGTCACTCAGTGGCAGGGTCAGGCTAAGAACCCCGGTGTTCCGATTTCCTGTCTCCCTTGAGCTCCATGGGCCCCACCACACACACAAACAGCCTCTCTCACCCCACCTTCCTCTAGCATGCACCTGGCTGCCTTTGCCTCCCTTCCCAGAGGCTGCCCCTTCTTTCTCTAGACCCTGGACCCTGCATAAGATGCAATAAACATGGCTACAGTCACGTTAAGGGCAGAGGCTCGCTGGGGTAAGTGGCAGGGCTGAAGCAGGTGGAGAGGGAGCAACCTCACATCCCGCCTGCAGTCTGGATTCTGTCCCAATCACACACTAAAGAAGAGCCCTTGTCAAGGTTACCAGCAACCTCCACGTTGCCAAACCCAAAGGCCTCTTGCCAGTACTCACCTCGCGTGGCCCATCTGCCGCTGCCCACGCCGCTGACGGCTTCTTCCTGGTGGAACCACTGCCCCCCTCTGTCATGCAGTCTGCTCTGGTTCTCCTCCCACCTCTCTGACCGTTCCTTCTCAGGCTCCTTTGCATGCCCTTCTTCATTCCTCAGGGCTCTGTCCTCAACCCATCCTTTTCTCTTTCTGTACACTGTCTCTGGACAGTATTGACAACTACCACCTGTGTTGTGATGAACTTCAACTTTTTCCTTCCAGACCAAGCCTCTCCTGAGCTCCAGCCCCTTGCATGTGTTTAACTATCTCCTGGATTTCCCCACAGGCATCTCACCTCTCACCCTGTGCTGGGCCCCGTGCTCCAGAACAGCTCATCGGCGCTTTGCCCACATCTTCTGCTGGCAGAGTCTCCCTGATTCTGTCTTCCACAGCCCTCTCAAACATGTGCTTTCTTCTCCAACCCCAAACCAGTCATCACCTTCTCTCTGTCCCAGATCAAAAACAGCCTCTTAACTGGTTCCCTCTTGCCAGCCTTGCCTGTTCTGCTTATGCTCCACACTGCACCCAAAATTACCTTTAAAACCCAAATCTGATCATGTCACTCCCCTGCTTGCCAGCCTTCAACATCACCCACTGCCCTCTGGATTCATTATCAGAGCCCGATCATCAAGTTTCTCTTCAATCTCTCTCTCTCTTTTTTTTTTTTTTTCTTTTTTTTTTTTGAGACAGAGTTTCGCTCCTGTCACCCAGGCTGGAGTGCAATGGTGTGATCTCAGCTCACTGCAACCTCCGCCTCCTGGGCTCAAGTGATTCTCCTGCCTCAGCCTCCTGAATAACTGAGATTACAGGCGTCCGCCACCATGCCCAGCTAATTTTTGTATTTTTAGTAGAGACGGGGTTTCACCATGTTGGCCAGGCTGGTTTCGAACTCTTGACCTCAGGTGATCCACCTGCCTAAGCCTCCCAAAGTGCTGGAATTACAGGCATGAGCCACCGCACCTGGGCCTCTTCAATCTCTTTATCCTGGGTTTCCCTTCTCCCCATTTCCAGCCGTGCCCCGGATACCCCAGTGCATGGTTTCATTTGACCCCCACATATTATGAGCCCTTTCTGTCCAAAAAGGCTTGATGAGAAAGCCCCCCCTCCTTACTTTCCTCTGCTGCTTCCCCAGGCTCCCAGCTCAGAGGCAAGGAATGGACAATGTGACCCATGGGGTCAGCATGGGGAGGGGGTCATGGACGGCCCTGGCGGAGCCCCACCCACTTCGTGCTGCCCACCCACTCACCATCATGACATATGTGCTCATGAACTCGGCCAGGAACTCTCGCACCATCTTCCTCTGCAGTATTTCCTGGATCTTTGCTATCACGGACCAGGAGACCATTTTGGAGCCACGGGTGGACCTAAGACAGTGGCCCGAGCCCATGGACAGAAAGGAGACTCAAGTCTGCCTGCTGCCCATCGGCTCTTCAACTCCCAGCTGAGTTAATAGGTAACCCAGCAGCCTCGCCCACACACGCCTCCTCTTGCGCAGGGCAGCTGGGACAGCTGGAATTGGAGACACTTGAGAGCCACGGGGACATGGAGAGGAACTGGGGTAGATGGCCAGGCCATGCCCCTTCTAGTTGGGACTGGACCAGTAAAAATGGCACACCAATGAGGCCACTTTGCAGATGGGCGGGTGGGGAGCTGAAAGTGCAATCCACGGTGCCAACAAGCCTCTGGAAAAAAGCAGGGTGGGAGAGAGCAGGCTGGAAAGTGGAGCTCAGTTGTCTATGTCTGTCCGTCTGTCCGTCTGCCTATCTGCTAGAGCCAGAACTTTGGGGTCACAGGCCAGGGCCTGGCAACAGTGAGGCACTCTACAAACAGCATGAGGTGTGACAAAGTCTGCTGCCGAGCTCTATAAACAGCACTGAGCGCTGAAACAAGCGCCAGGTTCTGTCAAAAATGAAGGGGTCAGCAAAATGCACCAGGCTGTGCAACCAGGTCAGTGCAAACAGAGGTTTGTGAGAGAGTGAGTGAATGAATGAATGACCAAGAGAGAGGGAGGGAGAAAAGGAAGGACTGGATCTACTTCCTGGTGTATCTTCAGTGCCCAGCACCACGCCAGGCACATAGTAGATGTGCAATAAGTATTTGTTGAATGAGTGAAAACTGGGGAATCTGTCTTACTCCCAACTAGATCCTCAGAGCTTCCCAAAGGGCCTGGCACTTGATTTATATTGAGTTAAGTGCACGGTTAGATGGAAAGGTAGATGAAACAGGTGAGTAACAGGGCCCAAATCTGCATATAGAGAGAGGTATAGGACTGGAGTTTGGGGAAGGTGGCGGGGTGGGCCTGGAGGATAAAGAGGAAGAAGAGGGGCTGGGCCCGGTGGCTCACGCCTATAATCCCAGCACTTTGGTAGGCCAAGGTGGGCAGATCACCTGAGGTCGGGAGTTCGAGACCAGCCTGACCAAGATAGAGAAACCCCATCTCTACTAAAAAATACAAAATTAGCCAGGCATGATGGCGCATGCCTGTAATCCCAGCTACTTTGGAGGCTGAGGCAGGAGAATCGCTTGAACATGGGAGATGGAGGTTGTGGTGAGCCGAGATCTTGCCACTGCACTCCAGCCTGGGCAACAAGAGCGAGACTCCATCTCAAAAAAAAAAAAAAAAAAAAAAGAGGAAGAAGAGGGATACAGATACCTCTAAGTGTGGCCTTAGTCACTCTGCTATCTCACTGTCTGCATGCCCGGAAGCTGACACCAGCCCCTCAACTCCTCTGGCCAGCCCATCCTTGCACATCACGTACTGCCTTAGCTGCAGGCCTTTGCACATGCCAGTCCTACGCCCAGAATGGTCCCCTGCCTCCCCAGAGGCTCCTTTACCCACCAGCCTTCTTTTCTTGACCTAAATTTCCCTTTCTCTGGGAGAGCCTCCTACCCTCTCCTCTAGGCCATTCACTTCTTCCACATGCCCCACGGTGCCCACTCTTTCAGCTGGGGCAATGCTCATCACACTGCATAGTAATTGCTCAGTTAGGCCAGGCACAGTGTCTCACGCCTGTAATCCCAGCACTTGCCGAGGCGAGCTGATCGCTTGAGCCCAGGAGTTCAAGACCAGCCTGGGCAGTATGACAAAACCTCATCTCTACAAAAAAAAAAATACAAAAATTAGTCAGGTGTTGTGGTGTACGCCTGTGGTCCCAGCTAATGGGGAGGCTGAGGTGGGAGGATTGCCTGAGCTCAGAAGGCAGAGGTTGCAGTGAGCTGAGATCACACCACTGCACTCCAGCATGGGTGACAGAGTGACACCCTGTCTCAAAAAAAAAAAAAAAAAAAGCTTGATTAATAATTAATTAACGGTTTTTCTTCCTAAGGGCTGGGATCATACCAGTTTCCTTCACTGCAGTGCCTGAACATAGTAGGCATAGTAGATTCAATAAATCTTTGGTTCATTGGCTGGTTGTTGCCTGCCGTGTGCTGATGAGAAAGGAGCCAGGCTTCCAGGATTTCCTTGGTGTTCTTGGCTCCCTGCTCTGTCTACCTCTCCCCTGCCTCTATGGTACCTTCCCAGGACTGTCTTTGGGCTGCTGCTTGCATTGGTAGGGTCTCTTCTTCAGGGCTGAGGAGGCTGCTCATGGGATAATGAGACCCCTATACGATGCTGCATGGGAGCTGGAGTTGGATGGGGGCCAGTGGATTATCCGCGCAACTCTGCATCCCCCTCCATCTACTCCTCCCTGGTTTTGTTTCTCTGGGGTAAGGAATAGAGCAAAGACTGGGATGGGTGAGCTATGAACAGAGGGTCTCAGCTGAAAAGTGGAAGATGTTTTATTCCATGCCTGGACATCTCTCATTCCCTCTGCTTACTTTTTGCTGCTGTGAGGTCAGGGGAATTTAGGAGCCCTGAGGAATGCTGCTGCTCTCCCTAGCAGGGCGAGGTGACCCTCCACTGGCCCCCATCCAACCCCAGCTCCCATGCTGGAGGTAACCACAGAAGAGGAGAGAGAAGTGGATAGAGCAGAAAGCCAAGAACACCAAGAGAATCCTGGAAGCCTGGCTCCTTCCTCATCACCACACAGCTGGCAAGACACAGTAAGCAACAGATAACCACCAACCAGCCAATGAACTCAAGATTTCTTGAATCTACTGTGCCTAGAATGTTCAGACACTGCAGTAAAGGACACTGGTACGATCCAGCCCGTGGGAAGAAAAGCAATCAATTGAGCAATTACTATGCAGTGTGATGAGCACTGCCCCAGCTGAAAGAGTGGGCACCGTGGGGCATGTGGAGGAAGTGAATGGCCTAGAGGAGGGGGTAGGAGGCTCCCAGAGAAAGGGAAATTTAGGTCAAGAAAAGAAGGCTGGAGGGTAAAGGAGCCTCCAGGGAGGCAGGGATCACTCTGGGCGTAGGACTGGCATGTGCAAAGGCCTGCAGCTAAGGCAGTATCCAATGTGCAGGAATGGGCTGGCCACGGAGGAGTGGAGGTGGCATGAGATGGGCAGAGAGGGGCCAGGGCCAGGTGGCAGAAGGCCTCATGGCCCACATTAGGGAGTCTGAACTCTACCAGAGGGCCATGGGCCAAGTGGAGGGTTTCAGCAGGAGAGCTGCCTCCCCTGTGGAGGCCAGGATGGAGGAAGTGGAGTGGAGGCAGGGTGAGCATCAGCTTCTCCACAGATGGGTGGAGAAGTGGCGGCAGCCTGAGCCACAGAGATGGCAGCGCCAATGGCCAAAAGAGCACAGTCAAGCTGACAGGCTTGGTGTTTGGTTAGAGAGGGAAGAGAGCGGGGCAGCTCAGCGATGCCCTCAGGTCCTGGCTAGGGCAGGTCCTGACTAGTGTGGGGCGCAGCAGAGAAGCTGTGGGAGAATGGACAAGGAGGCCCTTTCTGGGCATGTTGAGTGTGAGGAGCCCGCTAGACACTTGGGTGGGATGGCCAGTGAGGAGGCAGCTGGTCATGTGGTCTCACTTACAGACACATTTGGAGGACAGCAAATCACAGATGGTCATCTGAGCCATGGGCATAGATGAGAGAGCTCAAGGAGAGGGTACAGACTAAGAAGAGGGGCCCAAGAAAGCCAGCCTACAAAGCAAGAAACTGGCAGCCAACCAGATTCCCTAAGTAATCTGCTAACCAAGGAACTAAATAGCTAACAGCTCACTAAAAGCCTGTTTCTTTTCTTTTTCTTTTTCCTTTTTTTTTTTTTTTGAGACAGGGTCTCACTCTGTCGCCCAGGCTGAAGTGCGGTGGTGGCACAGTCACAGCTCACTGAAGCCTAGACTTCCCAGGGTTCAAGCAATCCTCCCGCCTCAGCCTCCCAAGGTGCAGGGATTTCAGGCATGAGCCACCACGCCTGGTGGCTTACTAACCCTTTGACTAACCTATCAAAAACCAACTAACTGATTCTCCTGTTAACCAGCTATTAACTCATTTAATTATCTAATCAACCAGCCAACCATAAACTATCCAACTAACCACGAGCCAACAATTCAACCTGCTAACCAACATTTCTTAATTCAACAAACATTGGTTGGCCAGGCATGGTGACTCATGCCTGTAATCCCAACACTTTAGGAGGCCGAGGCAGGTGGATCACTTGAGGTCAGGAGTTCAAGACCAGCCTGGCCAACATGGCAGAACCCCATTTCCACTAATAATAAAAAAAAAATTAGCTGGGCATGGTGGCAGGCACCTGTAATACCAGCTGGGGGGGGAGGGGCTGAGACATGAGAATCGCTTGAACCCAAGAAGCAGAAGTTGCAGTGAGCCGAGATCATGCCACTGCACTCCAGCATGGGCAACAGAGCAAGACTCCATCTCAAAAAAAAAAAATTTTTTTTTGTTGAGCATCTACTTATGAGTCAAGCACCAGGGATACAAAGTCAAAACCCACTCTCCACCCTTGGGTCACTCTGTTTAATGGAAGAGATGGGTAATGGCAACAACACCAGAGAGAAGCAGCCTGGGACTGGGGGAGCTCAGGGAAGGCATGGGAGGTGAGGCCTGAAGGGGGTTTTGAAGAATGGGCGGGTGGTGGCCTGACATGGCCATGGGGGAGTAGGGTGGTGGTAGAAAGAATGGTGGAAGCTGTGCACATTCTAGATATTTTAGGAGATTGGTGACTGGATGTGAGACATGGGGGAGAGGGAAGTATGAAGGACATGACCTTGACTTCTGGCTTGAGCAACTGAGGAGAAGGGGACCCCTGACTGAGCCAAGAGCACAGGAGGAGTGGACTTGCAGGGGGCGGAGGAGGCTGTTTCCATCTAGGAGCTGAGTTGCCTGTGAGACACCAGTGGGTCTCTAGAAACAGGATCTAAAGCCCTGGAGAGCGATGTAGGCTAGAGGCAATGATGTCAACAGAGTGGCACTATTCATTCTCTCCGTCCAAGTGTACAACAGGCAAATATCCCTGCTTGCGTGGAGCTGACAGCAATGAAATGTAATAAGTAAGTACATTTGTATAAGCGAAGGTACCAGCTCCTACGGAAAAAAACAGAGCAAGGAGAGGGGAATTGGGAGTGCAGGGGCTGGAGATGGGGTGTGATTTCAAATAGGGCAGCCAGAGTAATCCTTGTTGAGAAGGTGGCCTTGGAGCAAAGCCATGAAGGAGACGAGAGTGGGCTGTATGTTAGCTGCAGAAAGCCTCTCAGGTGGAGGGAGACTAGTCACCAGAGGACTCTCAGCATGTTTGAAGAAAGCAAAGAAAGTCAGTGTGAGGCCAGGTGCAGTGGCTCACACCTGTAATCCCAACCTTTTGGGAGGCCAAGGCGGGTGGATCACCTGAGGTCAGGAGTTCAAGAACAGCCTGGCGAACATGGCGAAACCCCATTTCTACTAAAAATACCAAAATAATAATAATAATAATTAGCTGGGTGTGGTAGTGTGTGCTTGTAATCCTGTAATCACAGCTACTCAGGAGGCTGAGGCAAGAGAATCGCTTGAACCCGGGAGGAGGAGGTTGCAGTGAGCCAAGATCATGCCATTGCACTCCAGCCTGGGCGACAGAACTGGATTCCATCTCGGAAAAAAAAAAAAACCTGAAAAGAAACTCAGTGTGGCTGGAGGAGGGAGAGCAGGGGGCTGGAGTGGGGAGGCCAGAAAGCTAACAAGGCTGGGCCTTGGCCATTGCAAGGACTGGCTCTTGTTCACCCCAAAGACAGCTGAGCCTGAGAGGGTGAGAGGTGCTGAGTGCAGTTGAGTTGAAGGCCACCTGCATGCCTTGACCCTCATCCAAGTATTTCTGAGCCTCCCCTCACCCCAGGACCCAGCCCAGGCAACAGGTGGAAGATGCTCTTCTTCTGGGACCTCAGAGGCGAGTGGGTGGGTGGGGAGGAGGAGGTCGAGTGGGGACAGCTGCCCCAAGGGAGAGGCTGAGGATGGAACAGGGAGGGCACTGAAGTGGGCTGGGTGAAGGACAGGGGGCTGGAGGGTGAGAAGAGGGTGGGGTACTTACCGCCTGTGCCCGGATGCTTGAACCATGTTTTGTCTTTCAGATTTGTAGATGCTGAGGAGCCAAAGAGAGGTCACTAGGGCTGGAGGACACAGAACTTGGCCCCACACTTCCATCAGACCTTGGTCCCCAGGGGAGAAGCCCTGGGGCAGCTCCTGCTAGTGCCACTCCCTTAACCCAGCCAAGGAACAGGGAGGGAGGAGCGGTGCTCAGCCAATGAGGCGACGCCCTGGAGCCCCACCCCACCCATGCTGGCCCCAGGACCCCAGCCCCAGGCCAGACCCTCCAGTGCTCCTGCTGACCTTCCGTGTCTGCAGCCCGGCTTTGGACTGTGGAGATGCCCTCAGCCTCTACTCAGTGGCTCCAGCCTCATATTTGCGTGCTATACCTTTAACCTCAAGTCCTCTTGCTGCTAACTTAAGCTGCGACTGTCCAGGACCTGCACACACACACACATGCACGCATGCACACACACACACACAGAAGGTGAACACACAGGATGAGGCCCTGAAAACTCATTTCACCCGTGTACCTCACCCAAAAATTCCCCTTTGTACTCCTATCTTTATCTCTAACTGACAGCATGAAGGTAGCCCGAAGTCCCCTCACCCTGTCTGTCCTCCTGATTCTCTAGCCCAGTTCCCTCTAGCTCCAGCACAGACTCTTATCTCCAGCCCTGACTGCCGAAACCCTCCAGCCCCAGCTCCAGCCCCTCAGGAGGGGACTGCGTGGGAGGAATGACTCCAGCAAGCCGGCAGCTGACCCGTCTCCTGCCTGCACGCCTCCCGCTGTGGTCCACTGCCGGTGGTCTTCAGCTCTCTCCTCGTCCCACCCCCATGGTCTGCTGACAGCCCAGCTCAGTGCATCCCTGCCATCTCTGCTCTACCGCTGGTCCTCCCAACAACCAACTTACAGGTAAGGAAACTGAGGCCCAGAGAGAGGGTGTATGTGCCTGTGTCACACAGCAACACAGGACTGCACCATAACAAGAAAGCCGGGACTTCCACTCCCAGACGGGGCTCCTTCCCCAAACAATCCCTCAGTCACCTCCTCCCTGTATGGTACCCAGGGAATGGCCCTTCCAGATCTGGGCGCTGAGGAGGCTGCCCCATCCCCACCCTGCCTGGAGCCCCACTCACTCTGCTGAAATGTCTCTGATTCTCAGCCTCCGCCTTGGGGGCTTCTCAGTTACAGCGCATCTTGATCTTGTTCCTCCGTGACTGTCCCTGGCTCAGCTTCCACCCCCAGCTGGGGCTCAGCTATCCCTGTGTCCCCAGTCCAGAGCCTGCCTCTCAGCTCTCCCAGGGCGGCCTCGAGCGCTGCTCCTGCTCCTCCAGGGGAGAGGTCAGTAAGGCAGGGGTTTGGCTGGTGCCACTTGAACCAAGTCCAGATGCACTGCCCAAAATAACATCCCTCGTCCGGCCAGCAGTGCCGTGGAGACCGAGTTCTGAAGCAGGCCTTTGTGAGGTCAGAGGTGGAGCTCTGGGTGGGCACTCTGGGCCTCTCAGTCCCAGAGGAAAGGCCTGTCCTCCAAGCCAATGTGCAGCCTGACTCTGGGGCCAGCGCCTGAGGAAGCCCTCCCTGAGCCCCAGCCCTGGGGAAGGCTGAAGAGGCCTCTGAGCCCCCAGCGCTGGGGAGAGCTGTGCAGAATAGGACTGGAGGTGGAAGTGTTGGAGATTAACAGCCAGGTGGAGGGGACGGGGGAGGCCCTGGGTCAGTCCTCAGGGAACCCCCATTGTGAAGGGGGAAAGGGAAACTCAGGCCCAGTCCTCAGGGGCCCCCAGTCTGAGAGGAAGGAGGACACACGAGCCATATTTGCAGAGAAACACCAGCCTGCGAGAGGAGGTAGAAGCCCAGGCCTGGCCCTCCGAGGGCCCCTAGTCTGAGGAGCAGTCCACCTGTCCTCGGGAAAACACCTCCCTTAGGAAAGGCCAGCAAGGCCCCCGTAAAGGACCCAGAGCTGGATCGGGACATCGGGCTCGGGGCTCAGCGGTGTGGGAGCTCCGGGACCGAGGTGCAGTCAGGAGAGACCCTGGGGGCCAGCAGCAGTCCCAGAGGACTTTTGGAGCCAAGGCCTGACTGGGTCTCAAACAATGGGGCAGGCAGTTTGGGGTTTCAGCAGGTGGCCCAGTGCTGAGACACAAGGGAGGTGTTTCTGGTCTGCAGACACTGAGGACGCTTGCTATGTGGCGTGGTGGACGGTGGGTAAGTCCTGGGAACTTCCGGCACCAGGCTCCATGGGTGGGAAGGGGCATAAGATTCAGTTGTCCAAAGCTCAGGTCTGGGAATGGAACTGTCCTGTAGAGGGTGCCAAAGACCAGGTCTGGAACCTGCATAGCCCCAGTCCCCACCCCTGCACACACCCTCCCACCCCTTCCAGCTTTTTCTGCAGATCTTTCTGCAGGGGTGAGGCAGGGAGAGGAAGGGGTCGGCCACAGTCCCGGGGCTTCCTAGTCAGAAGCCCTCTGTAAGGCACTAACTTCCCTCTGCAGATTCTTTTTTTTTTGAGACGGAGTCCCGCTCCGCCCAGGCTGGAGTGCAGTGGCACAGTCTTGTCTCACCACAATCTCTGCCTCCCAGTTCAAGTGATTCTCCTGCCTCAGCCTCCCAAGTAGCTGGGATTACAGGCATGCACCACCAAGCCCAGCTAGTTTTTTTGGATTTTTAGTAAAGACGGGGTGTCACCATGTTGGTCAGGCTGGTCTCGAACTCCTGACCTCAGGTAATGCACCCGCCTCGGCCTCCCAAAGTGCTGGGATTATAGGTGTGAGCCACTGCGCCCGGCCTCCCTCTGCAGATTCTACGTGGGCTCAAGATTCAGCCTTTCTTCCTCAGGAAGGGAGGGGTGCACGCTTGGAAATGGGAGAGTCCTGCCTTTTTTCCTTTCCCATGTGTGCTCCCAGGGCCGGGATGAGGTCATGTTAGAAGTGGATCTGGGGTCTTGGATGAGGTCAGCACTTGGGCAGAGTTGGAATGGGCTGGTGTCAGGTTGGTGAGGGAGGGAATTGGGATCCATGCTGGGGTCAGAGATCAGGCTCTAAGCTCTTTTACAGGGCTTGACCCTGGGGACTGAGAGGTGGAGAAGACACAGTCCCATCTGTCTCACGGCAGAGACAGGTAAGCAGCAGGTGACTTAGGACACACCAGATAGGCTGGAAGGAATACAGACGGGGCTATCCCAAGCTGGAGGGGTACAAGGGTCTTCCGTTAGAGGTGACGTGGGAACTGAGTTTTCCAAAACGAGCAGGGGGATGGGGCACCGGGGCATTTGAAGCTTGATGGGATTGTGAGAAAACCTGGGAACTGCGAGTGACTTGCAGAGGGCTGCGGAAGTGGGCAGGGATAGACCATGAAGGGCTTTGTCAGCCAGGCCAAGGAGTTCTGACTTTAACCCGAGGGCCTGAGGAGCCTGCAAAGGGTTCTAAACAAAGAGAAGAGCAACAGGGTCAACCTGAGGTCCCTGAGGCCCCAGGGCATCCAGCAGGCAGAGGCGCAGTTGGGCCTGGGCTGGGGAGAGGAGTCTAGCTGGAGAAAGAGAAGAGGAGATATCAGCCCCTGGACATTCAGCACTAGAGTTGCTGGGGCTGCCCAAGAAGCACAGGGAGTGAGGCAAGGGCCAGGGCCAGGATTCTGGGGAAGAAGGATGACGAAGAAGGAGTGGGTGTGGAAGGAGCTGGAAACCCAGACACAGGGCTGCCCAGAGGCTGATGGGAGCCAGTAGGGGGCTGTTGCCCCAGAGTTGGGTGCTGGGAGGGGCTGGCCAGGCAGGTGTTTGCAGACAGCTGCCTGGATGAGCTGGTGGGGATAGAGGGTGGCAACAGCACTGAAGAAGCAGAGGCTGAGGAGGCAGAAAGTTCAACTGCAGAGAGAAGAGAGGCAGCTAAAGGGGCCACCAAGGTGGGAGTTTGGGTCAGAGCTGTGAAGCATGTTAGTCTGCACAGAGCCTGCGGCGGGGGGTCTCTGGGTCTCTGAGCCAGTGGAGATAGTTGGGGGGCAGAGAGGGAGGGGACACCCGGGGTCCTTTCTTCATAGGATGGGCTTGAGTAGAGTTACCAGATAAAATATAAGATGCCCAGTTAAATTTAAATTTCAAAGAAACAATATTTGCCACAACCTTATACCTGGTATACCTTTGGTCTAAACTCAGGCCCTCTTGATGCTTAAACTGTGACTGTCCAGGACCTACACACACACACACACACACACACACACACACACACACACACACACACACAGAGTTTTATTTTTAGCAAATAAAAATATAGCCAGGTGCATTGGCTCACTCCTGTAATCCCAACACTTTGGGAGGCTGAGGTTGGTGGATCACCTGAGATCAGGAGTTCGAGACCAGCCTGGCCAACATGGTGAAACCCCGTCTCTACTAAGAATACAAAAATTAGCCAGGTATGGTGGCAGGTGCCTGTAATCCCAGCTACTCAAGAGGCTGAGACAGGAGAATTACTTGAACCCAGGAGGCAGAGGTTGCAGTGAGCTGAGATGGCACCACTGCACTCCACCATGGGTGATAGAGTAAGACTCTGTCTCAAAATAAATAAATATATAAAAATAAAACAAAATACTTTTTTATTTTATTTTATCTTTTGAGCCAGAGTTTCGCTGTTGTCACCCAGGCTGGAGTGCAGTGGTACAATCTTGGCTCACTGCCACCTCCACTTCCCGGATTCGAGTGATTCTCTTGCCTCAGCCTCCCGAGTAGCTGGGACTACAGGCATGAGCCACTACACCCAGCTAATTTTTGTATTTTTAGTAGAGATGGGGTTTCACCATGTTGGCTAGGCTGGTCTCAAACTTCTGATCTCAGGTGATCCACCCGCCTCGGGCTCCCAGAGTGCTGGGATTACAGGCGTGAGCCACCGCACTTGGTCTAAAATACTTTTTTCATTCAAACATTTGTTAAGAATATCTTTCTATGACAGTAGGTCCATGTCCACCTCATGCCTGTTGTACAGCATTCCACCTGATGGAGATTATATAATAAGGAATCCTTCTATTGATGAGCGTTTAGATTGTCTCCAATTTTAAATGGACCCAACACTTCTCTATTGTGAACAACATGGGATAAACACAATTGGCTGAAACTCAATTAAGGATGAAAATGCAAATCGAAATTTTAAAATATCAGAATGAAGAAACAAAAATGACTAAAGGTGCTAAAAACTGTCCCCGAATGTCCCCCAAAGTGTTGACACACGCACAAAAACTAAACATTTTGATTAATTATTTGTTTCAATCAACATGCCATTGGATTAACTTATCACAAAAACTGCTTTTCATCACGCTGCTTTACACTTGTGGTTTTTCCGACTCTTTCGAGCCACGGAATCCTTTGCATAACTCAGGAGCCCATGGTATAAACAAGCAAGGAAGGAGCCACTCTGGTTCCAGGCGCAGGGGTGGGGGTAGGAGGGCAGGGCAGGTCCCTCAAGGAGCCCTGGTCTCTCTCGAATCATCTGAAGCCATGAAGGTTCTCAGAATGCCCCAAAAAGAAAAGACACTTAAGCCCCACCCAAGTAAGCATCTCCTTCCAAACTCATTTTTCAGGTAGGAAAACAGATTCAGAGCAAGGTAACAACTTGCCCAAGATCACCTAGAACTAGAACATCCAGACCAGGGCTCTGGCTCACCCCAAGGAGACCAGGGTTCCCCTACTAGGCGGCGAGGCTGGGGAGGGGCAAGGGCAGAGGCAGGACCCAGGAAGGTCTTTAACTCTCACACCCACCAATTACCAGAACTCCCCCTCGCCCCCCGCCCAGGCTCTCATCCTTCTCAGAATCATCCATGGGCCTTCAGGACAGAGCAGATGGAGACCAAGGCAGACAGGATCAGGCACAGCCACTTGTCCAAGGGCAAAGATCCCCTGAAGTCGAGAACCCAGAATTCCAACCTAGGCCTACTCCATCCTAAAAGAGCCTATATGGAGCTGCCTAACTTGGCATCTGAAACCAGGGATTGAGCTCAGACTTGTCACTTTCTAGTATGAGCTGGAGCTATCAGGGAAGGCTTCCTGAAGGAAGAGGGGTCTTATTAACGGAAGCAGCCAGGGAGACAACACTGAAGAAATTTGCATGTGTGAGAAGCATTTGTGTCTTTGTATATACCTATATGTGAGCATGTGCCTGTGTGGATGGACAGGTGTGTGTGTGTGTGTGTGTTGTGTATGTGTGTATGTGCGCACACATGCATCTGCTTATGTGTGTCTGGTCTTGCACGCGGAAGCCTCTCTGTAGTGAGACACACACACACACACACACACACTCCCCAAGTTGTGCACACGTGAACATGCGACCATTCTTCCAGGTTAATATTTCCCTGCCTGCGTCAGCACGGTCCCAGTAAGTGAGCAGCTCCATGCAGGAACGTGCCCTATCTGATCTGGTCAGGGGCTGTGGGTCGGGAACAGGGGGATTAGGGCGGGCAGGGAGCCCATCTCAGTTTCCCCCGGGCAAGCTGCACTCTCTCCACTCTCCTGCTCAGCCAGAGAAAGGAGGTAGCCCCAGTGTAGTGTGACTGCCCGGTCTCCCCACTCACGCTGGGGACTCCCTGATGGAACAGCCTCCTTGCTTGCCTCCACATAGGCCAAGGCCAGCCGTTCCCTGAAAGACCCTCCCGACTCCCTCATCTCTGCCCAAATCCTGAGGCCTCTCTATGCATAGTTGTCCCCTTAAGGGCAAACAGGGAGCAAAGACCCTAGGAAATGCTCACAATGAGCCCCTCCCTTCAGCAGGAAAGCAGCTTTGAAATGTCCAGGTGAGCCAGTGGGAAGGTGGGATTCAATTGGCAGCTTTCCAGGAGAACAGTGATTGCAGCAAGGGCCTGTGCAGAGATCTGTGTGGTCAGGGTCTGGGGTACCGGCACCCACGGGCATTAAGCTTCAGCCAGGAAGGCTTGGTGGGACATGTGGGCCCCAGGGAGAGTGGCAACTCCCTAGATGCTGGGCCTCTCCCTGGGTTGATGGAGAACCCTCCCATGCCTGCACTGGTCCCTGGGGTGCAGGCTGGGCCAGGCTGGGCTGGGTGAGCAGACACTGTCTCTTCTGCTTTTGGGACAGCCCAAGGGCTAGCGTGAGTCAAACCCAGGTGTCCTGGCTCCTAGCCCAGCTAGAGGATGCCCCAGTGCTTCCCTGAACGGGAGGAGAGAGAAGGCTGGAGCATGGACAGAGGGAGACACTCACCGCTAAGGCTCTTCCCACAGCATAGCCCCTCTGCCTCCACCTCTCTCAGGCTCCATCTCTGGGTGGTCTCCTCTCCACCCTAGGGGCACATTAGGACTTTCATAGGCCCTTGGCATTTTTTTTTTTTCCTAGAGACAGGGTCTCGCTCTGTCACCCAGGCTGGAGTGCAGTGGTGCGAACTTGGCTCAGTGCAACCTCAAACTCCTGGGCTTGAGCAGTCCTCTCACCTCAGCTTCTTCTCACTGAGTAGCTCGGACTACAGGCGCACACCAAGATGCCAAACTATTTTTTGAATTCTTTTTGTGAAGACGAGGTCTCACTTTGTTGCCTAGACTATTCTCAAACTCCTGGGCTCAAGCAATCCTTCCACCTTGGCTTCCTAGAGTGCTGGGATTACAGATGTGAGACACCGTGCCCAGCCTGGCGTGTGTGTGTGTGTATGTGTGTGGTAAAAAATGCAACATAAACTTAGTGATCTTAACTATTTTTTTTGGTTGGGGGGTGGCGGGTCTTAACTTTTTTTTTTTTTTGGTGAGTCTTGCCCTGTCATCCAGCCTGGAGTGCAGTGGTTCGATCTCGGCTCACTACAACCTCCACCTTCCAGGTTCAAGCGATTCTCCTGCCTCAGCCTCCCGAGTAGCTGGTACTATAGGCGTGCCCCACCACACCCACCTAATTTTTGTATTTTTAGTAGAGACGGGGCTTCACCATGTTGGTCAGGCTGGTCTCAAACTCCTGACCTCATGATCTGCCCGCCTCGGCCTCCCAGAGTGCTGGGATTACAGGCATGAGCCACCATGCCCAGCCCAATCTTAACTATTTTTTAGGTAGAGTCCAATAGTGGAAAGTATATTCACATTGTTGTACAATCTCCAGAACTTTGTCATCTTGCAAAGCAAACTCTATACCCATTAAATCATTCCTCAATTCCCTTTCTCCTACTCCTGGCAACCACCATTCTACTTTCCATCTCTATGAGTTTGACTACTCTAGATACTTTATATGAGTGAAACCATACACTGTGTGTCTACCTGTGCCTGGCTTAGTTCACTTAGTATAGTGTTCTCAAAGCTCCCTCCATGTAACGTGTCAGAATTTCCTTCCTTTTTTTTTTTGAGATGGAGTTTTGCTCTTGTCGCTTGCTCAGGCTGGAGTGCAATGGCACAATCTTGGCTCGCTGCAACCTCCGCCTCCTGGATTCAAGTGATTCTACTGCCTCAGCCTCCCAAGTAGCTGCGATTACGGGTGCCCACCACCATGTCCAGCTAATTTCCTTCTTCTTAAGGCTGAACAATATTCCATTGTATGAATGTACCACATTTTGTCTATCCATTCAGTTATCCCTGGACTTGAGTTGCTCCCCTCTTTCGGCTATTGGGAATAGTGCCGATATGAACATGGGTGTGCAATTATCTTTTTGAGATCCTGCTTTCAATTATTTTTTTTTTAATTTCAGGTTTGGGGGCACACGTGAAGGTTTGACATATAGTAAACACATGTCATGGTGGTTTGTTGTACAGATTATTACATCACCCAGGTACTAAGCCCAGTACCCAATAGTTGTCTTTTCTGCTCCTCTCCCTCCTCCCGCCCTCAAGAAGACCCCCGTGTCTGCACTTTCCTTCTTTGTGTTCGTAAGTTCTTATCATTTAGCTCCCAATGCTTTCCATTCTTTTAGATATATGTGCCCTTGGCATTTTTGCCCTTTTGGGCCCCTTCTTCCAGCAAATAATAATAATAGTAATAATTAATTCTATTTTACAACTATTGGTATAAAGACAAATATATTAATTTTTTTTTTTTTTCCGAGACAGGGTTTCACTCCCGTCACCCAGACTGGAGTACAATGGTGCGATCTCAGCTCACTGCAACCTCTGCCTCCTGGGCTTAAGCGATTCTCCTGCCTTGGCCTCCCAAGTAGCTGGGATTACAGGTGCCTGCCACCACTCCTGGCTAATTTTTGTATTTTTTGTAAAGGCGGAGTTTCTCCATGTTGCCCAGGCTAGTCTCAAACTCCTGAGCTCAAGCAATCCACCCGCCTCGGCCTCCCAAATAAGTGGAATTATAGGTGTGAGCCACCACGCCGGCCCTGATGTATCAATATTAAAACATTTTCTTCAGCCTACAAGTTCTTCTTTTTCTTATTTGGATGCAAACTAAAACATTTTGTGGGCCCTTAGATTGAACATTCTCATGGGTCCTGTGCCTCCTGTGCGTCATGGAGAAGGCAGCCCTGCATGGCTCTCACATCCTCTTCCCCCACGCAAATGCTGCCACCTCCCCAGCCTCCATCTCCAGCCCGGAGCTCAAGAACAAGTGGTCCAGCCTCCTCTCTTGTTATCTCGTATGTGTAACAAGCACATTACCTTCACCTGCCCCAACCCAACCTCACCTCCCCACAGTCTGCCCCCTTCCCAAGGGCCTAGCCCAAGGAATGCTCCTCCCCACCACATCTCTGAAGCTTTCCCTCCAGGAGTCACTCAACTACTCCCTCTCTCGTGGCCCCCTCAATCAGCCCCAAATCTAATCTCCAAGAGCCTCTCCACGGGTCTCCCGGTCTGCATCCCCCTTGAAGTAGGAGGCGGGACTTGACTCCAGAGGTGGGGCTTGGACACTGGACCAGATTGAGGACTAGCTAAAACAGGGCTGGAAGCAGCTTTCTAATCAGACATGCGCCCCAATGTGCCATGTTAATTTATCATTGCCATCTCAACACCTGGGAGTTATCACCCCTTTCCATGGCAATGACCCAATGGCCCAAAAGTTACCACCCCTTCCCTAGGAATTTCTGCATAAATTGCCTCTTAATCTGCATACAATTAAAAGTGGGTATAAATATAACTGCAAAACTGCCCTGGGCTGCTGCTCTCCGCCTCTGTATAGCCCTGCTGTGCAGGGGCAGTCATGGAGCTGTAACACTGCCGCTTCAATAAAGCTGTTTTCTTCTACTTCTCTCTGCATTGCCCTTGAGAGGCAAAGCCGAGAACCCTCGCAGGCCAAGCCCCACTTTGGGGCTCACCTCTCCTGCATCACCCTCACTCATTCTCCATTTTACAGCCATTTTTTTCCCCTTTTTGAGACGGAGTCTCGCTCTGTTGCCCAGGCTGGAGTGCAATGGAGCGATCTCAGCTCACTGCATCCTCCACCTCCCAGGTTCAAGAGATTCTTGTGCCTCAGCCTCCCAAGTAGCTGGAATTACAGGCACCCACCACCAGGCCCGGCTAATTTTTGTATTTTTAGTAGAGATGGGGTTTCACCATGTTGGCCAGGCTGGTCTCAAACTGCCTATTTTATTTTATTTTTATTTTTCTGAAATATGTTAAATTCCAGCTACTCTGTCATTTCATTCCTACATTCTTCAGTGTTCCCTCTAAAATATAGGAACATTTTCTTAAATAATCAGTGCCATACCTGACAAAATATACAATTCCATAGAATGATCAAATACTTGGAATTGTTTCAAAGTGTCTTTTTGCATTGATTTGTTGGATTGTTTGCATCAGGATCCAAACAAGGTCACACATTACGTTGGGTTAAATGTTCTCTTAAACAAGAGGAATTCCCCTTTCTCCATCATTATTTTTTCATGTCATTGACTTGCTGAATAAATGTAGTCCTGTAAGAGTCCCACATTCTAGATTTGTCTGTGTTTTTTCTTTGTAGTGTCATTCAGCTTTTCCGTCATCCCCTGTATTTCTTTGAGTAAGTGGCTGGGCACAGTGGCCCACACCCCTAATTCCAGCACTGTGGGAGGCCAAGGCAAGTGGATCATTAGAGCCCAGGAGTTCAATGCCAGCCTGGGCAACATGGAGAATTCCAATCTCTACAGAAAACACGAAAATTGCCAGGCGCAGTGGCTCACACCTGTAATCCCAGCACTTTGGGAGGCCGGGGCAGGCGGATCATGAGGTCAGGAGATCGAGACCATCCTGGCTAACATGGTGAAACCCCATCTCCACTAAAAATACAAAAAATTAGCTGGGCGTGGTGGTGGGCGCCTGTAGTCCCAGCTACTCAGGAGGCTGAGGCAGGAGAATGGCGTGAACCCGGGAGGCGGAGCTTGCAGTGAGCCAAGATCACACCACTGCACTCCAGCCTGGGCGACAGAGCGAGACTCCATCTCAAAGGAAAAAAATTAGCCAGGCATGGTGGCATGCACCTGTAGTCCCAGCTACTCAGGAGCCTGAGGCAGCAGGATCACTTGAACCTGGGAAGTCAAGGCTGCAGTGAGCCATGTCTGTGCCATTGAGCAAGTCCCTGTCTCAAAAAAAAAAGAAAAAAAAAAAGAGAAAGAAATAAAAAAAAAATATGAGAAGTCAGCTCTGGGCTGGGCGCAGTGGCTCACACCTGTAATCCCAGCACTTTAGGAAACCAAGGCAGGAGGATCGTCTGAGGTCAGGAGTTTGAGACCAGCCTGGCTAACATGATGAAACTCCGTCTCTATTAAAAATACAAAAATTAACTGGGCGTGGTGGTGCACGCCTGTAGTCCTAGCCACTGGGGAAGCTGAGGCAGGAGAATCACTTGAACCCAGGTGGCAGAGATTGCAGTGAGCGAAGATTGCACCACTGCACTCCAGCCTGGGCAACAGAACAAGACTCTGCCTCAAAAACAAAAAAAAGTGGCCAGGTGTGGTGGCTCACTCCTGTAATCCCAGCACTTTGGGAAGCTGAGGCGAGAGGATCACCTGAGGTCAGGAGTTCGAGACCAACCTGGCCAACACGGTGAAACCCCGTCTCTACTAAAAATACAAAAAAATTAGCCAGGTGGGGTGGTGGGTGCCTGAGTAGTCCCAGCTACTCAGGAGGCTGAGTCACAAGAATTGCTTGAACCTGGGAGGCAGAAGTTGCAGTGAGCCAAGATTGTGCCACTGCACTCCAGCCTGGGTGGCAGATCAAGACTCTGTCTCAAAAAAAAAAAAAAAAAAAAAAAAGAGCTCTAATGGTGTATGGTTTATTTATTTTTTATTAATTTTATTTATTTATTTATTTTGAGACAGCGTCTCACTCTGTCACCCAGGCTGGAGTGCAGTGGTGTGATCTCAGCTCACTGCAAGCTCTGCCTCCCGGGTTCACGCCACTCTCCTGCCTCAGCCTCCTGAGTAGCTGGGACTACAGGCACCCACCGCCATGCCTGGCTAATTTTTTTGTATTTTTAGTAGAGACAGGGTTTCACCGTGTTAGCCAGGATGGTCTCGATCTCCTGACCTCATGATCCGCCCGTCTTGGCCTCCCAAAGTGCTGGGATTACAGGCGTGAGCCAACACACCCTGCCTGGCTTTGTTTATTTTTTTGAGACAGTCTCGCTCTGTTGCCCAGGCTGCAATGCAGTGGCGTGAATGTTGCTCACTGCAGCCTTGACTTCCCGGGTTCAAGTGATTCTCTCAGCTGGGACGACAGGCGCATGCCACCATGCCACGCTAATTTTTGTATTTTTTGTAGAGATGGGGTCTCGCCATGTACCCAGGCTGGTCTCGAACTCCTGGGCTCAAGCAACCCACCCACCTCGGCCATCCAAAGTGCTGGGACTACAGGCACGAGCCACCGCGCCCGGTCTGGTGTGATTTTATTTAGGTTCAGTCTTGCATGTGGGCTGGAGCAGCGGGTCCTCTGTGGAGGTGCTGCATGCTTCCTATTTCATCCCATCAGGAGACACGTCATGTCTAGCTGCCCATGCTCAGTGATGCCAACTGCTCAGTGGCTTCAGGGAGTGACAGCCTGACCCCTCCATTGTCACATTCCCCCCGTCCCCCGCATCAGTACTTCGCCTTCTGCTTTTATTCTTTGATTTCTGCCTAAACCCATTTCATAATCTTTCCACAGTAAAGCATTTTAAAGGAAAAGCTCCAAGCAGCAATTTCCTAACCCACAGGAAAGAAAGAGTCTAAAAATGGTAGAGACTCAGGTACCAGGTTAATCGGAGCAGGGAGGAGGCTCAGGATAAGGGACGCATCATGAGAAGGAGGAAGGAGAGACTGAAGTGGTGGCCGGAAGGAGCAGTGGAAAAACCCAGAGACCTCCTGGCCAGGAGCCTGAGTTTGAGGCTGGTTTGAAGTTTCCCTACTCAGGGCCCCACCTGGGTGTGAGTTGTTTATAGCTCAGGCTTTTTAGACAGACAGACCTGAACTTGAATCCAGCTCAGCTTCTTAATCAGCATTGGGTGACTTAAAGCAAGAAATTTAACTGGGCTTCTTCATCTGTAAAATGAAGATATGAATCCTTATCTTGCAGGGTTGTTGGGAGAATGGACTGAGTGGGCAGGGGGCATGGCAAGGGCCTGGTAGAGTAAACTCTCTGGGTGGTGGGTAGGAAGCCCATCTGAGGGAGGGAAACTCTGTACTCCACACCTCCTGTCCTTCTCCTGCCCTAACAGATTCTTGCCTGATGCCAGGGCCAAACTAGAAGTGCTGGGAGTAGAGTATAATATGCTCATTCTGCAGACAGCAAGAGCAATGCTCAGGGACATCCACCTTCCTCTTCAGCCGCTCCAATGGTGTGTCTGGTCTCCCAGCCCTTGCCATTGCAGCCTAGTGGCTTAGCTTTCTGGACTTGAACCCTTGGTCACCCCCTCAGTCTAGGGGCCAGGCTGCCCCAGGCACCCTGCAATTGCCAGCCCAGTTAACAGGCAGCCGACTCACTGAGCGGGTGGGGGTTCCAGGCATGACAGGGCCTTGGGCAGGCTGCCTCCTGGGGACAACTGGCTTGCTGAGCCCGTGACGGGTGGGGCCATTTGATTCCCAGACGATTTCTCCTACACTGGGAACATAGCAGATGCACAATAAATGTTGAGAGAATGGAGCTTTCCCCCACTGAGTGGGAGAGAAACAGTTTGTCAGGTGACTCTGCCTGTGGGGGCGTCCTGGGCATCCCCAGGAATTCACGGCTCCAAGCCCTTGAGCCCTGGGCGAGGGGGTGCGGGGGAAGCACCTGGGGTGGGGCAGTGAGCCGGGAGCTCCTCCTTTCTCCTGTTCCAGCCTGTCTACTCCCGCCCTGCACGCCCCTACCCACAACCCTGGCCCCTAGTTGAGCCTCTCACTCCTTTCACAGCAGCTGAGGCAACCCAGCCAAGAGCCTCAGTGAGATGGGTTTGGGTAAGGTGGAACCTTAACCCCCAGACTCCCAACCTCATCCTGTTTTCAGCACCCATGAGACTGGCTCTAGCACCCCCTGCTGGCAGCCGAAGCTGACTCCTTTAGCCTGAGTCCACTGGAGGTGTCACCCGTGCGTCCCCAACTCCAGTCCCCTCAAGGGCTCCACCCGGCCCAGCCCACATGCCTTTGTTGTGGCTTCCAAGTTTTCTTTTCCACGTCACCTGCGCTGCTTGCTCTCTGGTTTTGTTGACTTTAGTGCTGTCTCTGTTTGCTCTGGCTGAGCCAACAGCCTCAGGATGAAACTCTGAGCCCAGGAAGTGTGAACCTGAGAGGCAGCAGGCTGGGGGTGGGGACGGAGGCAAATGAGAGACAGGGTAAGATCTGAGCTGGTTCCCGGGCTCAGGCTGGAGTTCATGGCAGCTCACTCCAGCAGCAGGGTCGGGGCCCATGGGCAGGGATGGGTGGAAGGATTTTTCCAGCCTCACTGAGAGCAGGTCTTGGCCTGTCACATCACTGTTTTGAAGTTTATTTGGAAGCTCAGCCCCAGAACTCTAATGCCTCACATCTCCAGGAGGTCTGAACCCCTCTGTGGGGCAGTGCAAGTTCCCTGGAGGCTGCGATCTGATTTCAGCCCCTAGTCCTTCAACCGAGCAACACAGGGGACACCACCATCCCCCATAGGAAGCCTCCAGGACCGAGCTTTCCTGACTTTCCGTGCGCCTCCATGAGAATCTGTTACCCAGCAGCCTGGCAAGGTGACCCCACAGGGATTATTGCCCCTCTACAAATTGAGCCCCAGACATGGTAAAGGGACATCTCCAAAGTCACCAAGTGAGAGCTTCCTGGCTCCTAGTCCAGACTCTTTGGCCCTCTTCAAGCATCTCTCAGATCATGGAGTGTGATGGGAAGGCAGCACCAGGCCCCAGGTGCCGGGGCAGGGGCCAACACACCAAGTTGTGGAGTGTGCATACAGTGCCACACAAACCAGGGGCATGCGCAACCTGGGGCTGACGTGCTCACCCCACAGCCCCTCAGACCAGACGCAGCCAGGACCCTCACGTCCCTCCTGCCTGCAGAGGGGGTAAGAGAAAGCAATGACTGAGTGCCCACCTGCCACTCACTGCTCCCAGCCTGCCTGTGTGGCCTGTGGGGTGTAAATGCCGTCTCAGGGTTAGGACAGTGGAACCACCCTGGCCTGCAGCCGGGAGCTTAGGGATAAGGTTAGGGAAGCTGCTGCCGTCACCACAGGCTTAGGGTGCCCAGCTCTGCCAGCTGATCCAGCCAAGTCCTTCTTGGGGAAGATGAGCTGTCATTAGAGAGCCCTTCCCACCTCTCAGACCTCCGCTTCTTATGGCTCGACAGGCTCTGAAGCTGCAATCCTTCTTTTCAGGAAGACACCTGTCACATGTGCGTGTGCTCTGGGAAGTGCTGTGTGTTCATCCACACTACCTCCGCCCATGCCACATGCCCCCTTCGCACCTGTGGCACACAGTCTAGGGGGCTGTGTGCCTGGGGACTCCCTATGTATGCTCAGTCAGACACGGGTACACATCTTGGACCCAGGTGTGTAACACAGCATTGCGCCCATATAGGTGAACACACAGGTGCTATATTCTGCATCCCTCCTACCCCTTTCAGAGCAAGGACCATTTGAGGGTGAGGGGTGAGTCACCTGCCAACCTGTGGGACCTGCTGAGCTAGCAGGATGGGAAGCCACAAGCTGACAGCTGTGGCTTCAAGGGACCAACACCCTGCGTGGGGCCCGCCCAACCACCAGCCTCCAGCGCCCCCAAACCCCTTACCTCCACCCTTATTAAATCCTACCCACACCCTCAGCCAAGACTCATGCCAGAAAGGCACCTCTATTCCTTTACAATATATATCTGCAGCTGAGCTGTCGCTGCACCTCATGGGCTACTACCAGACCTCTGCTTCTGTACAGATGCCTCAGGGAAAAACCAGGGTGGCAGCAGGACCCATCCCTCTCCTCTCCTCTGTCCAAACCCTGAGACTCCTAACTATGCCCCCCATGGAACCCCTTCTTGTTGATAATTCATACCTTTTGCGCCTCTTATTGAGCACAGAGCCCCATTCTAGGCCCAGACGGGCTCTGTCCCCTCCTGCCCTCTCTCACCTCTGTATTCCTGCTCAGAAGTCTGTCCCCAAGTCTGGGAACTCCCTGAGGACAGAGGGGCAGTCTGCAAACATAGACAGAAAACCAGGAAACCCGAGTAGCCCAGGTGAGTTGATCGTCCCCCAGATGAAGGAAGCTGGTTAAAAGCCCTCCTGGCTCCTCCTGTGCTTTGCCAGCACACCCAATTAGTTACCAAGACAAGTCTTGCTGGGTCTAAAGAATGTCCTCAACTCCTACTCTGTGCCAGACGTATCTGTAAATACATGGTCAACTTTGTACATGCGTCACTCGGCTGGGCATGGTGGCTCACACCTGTAATCCCAGCAATTTGGGAGGCTGAGGCAGGCAGATCACTTGAGGTCAGGAATTTGAGACCAGCCTGGCCAACCTGGTAAAACCCCATCTCTACCTGGGGTCCCACCATACAAGTGACCTCACCAAGGGACTGTTCTCCACCCTCTAGCCACTCCCCATCCCTACCGCAGAGCCAGGACCTAGCCTAGCCCAGTATCTGTCTCTGCAATTCCTGGAGACAGTCGCCAGGTAAGGGCAGCTGGCCTGCTGGAGCCACCTCACCCACCTCTGATCTTTGCCTAGGATCTGCTCCTGCCTGTCTCCTGGTTCTCCAGGGCACACACCCCACCCTGGGGCCGAGGCTCCACTATCCACCTGTCCAGACTTGCCTTCCATCCTGCGGGCCGACACGCCCAACCCAGCCAGTGCCCTGTGGTAGAATGTCTCACTCAGGTCAGAGAGTACAGCAGGAAGAGGGGGCTTGAGGGGGCACCTTCCACCCATCCCCATGGCTGACACCCCTTCCGCAACTCGGGAAGGTCCCTGAAGGACCTCAGGACCCAGTTCACCAAACTCCTCAAGCTTTATAGGTAGGTGGAGTAAAGCCCTGAGGGCCAGACCAAGGCTTCAGGGTGGATTAGTGGCTGGGACAAGACTAGATCCTAGGCTAGATCCTACGCAAGGGAAGGCCTCCCATCCCTACACAGGGAGACTTCTTCCCACAGACAGCCTCCAGGGAGGAGACTCAGAGGGCTCCCCTGAGAGAGTAGGGGTTGCTAGAGGAGTTACAGGGAGTGGGTCCCAGTCCAGGAGGGACAATCTTGCCCTGCAGGGTTTTGGGAGGTTGGATACTTCCCAGCTCAGTGCTGAGGGAAGGAAAACAGACCAGCTCACCCAGTAATCAGTGTTCCTTACAGGTGGCATACTTAAATGGGGGCGTGGGGGTGGGTGCTGTCCTCCCCAGGGGCCGGCAATAGGGGGCGCATCATTGGCAATGAACTTAAAAACACTTGATCTTAGCCAAAAGGCTAAGAAGCGATGCAATGAACTTAAAAACAATAAAACTGACTAAAAGTCAGTCTGCAGCCGGGCGCAGTGGCTCACGCCTGTAATCCCAGCACTTCGGGAGGCTGAGACGGGAGGACCACCAGACGGTGAAACCCCGTCTCTACTAAAAATACAAAAAAAATTAGCCGGGCATGGTGGCGGGCGCCTGTAGTCCCAGCTACTCAGGAGGCTGAGGCAGGAGAATGGCGTGAACCCGGGAGGCGGAGCTTGCAGTGAGCCGAGATCGCACCACTGCACTCCAGCCTGTGCGACAGAGCGAGACTCCGTCTCAAAAAAAAAAAAAAAAAGTCAGTCTGCTTCTTGTTGTCCCTATCAGCAGCAATGTTAAACAATGTCCGTGGTAAAATACACAGATGGGGTGAACCAACTGCCCCCTCCCCTTAGTACACCACAGTTCCTATCTATATATTCACCCCCAAATTCCTGCCAATCAAATCTACATGATTTCTTAGATCCTAAGACAATTAAGCCTTCTTTGGAGAATGTATGCGTCCTTTTAGGACATTTTTTTCTGAATGTCTACCGAGCATCTTAAGAAGTGTGAATGTGCCAGGCGCAGTGGCTCAGGACTTTGGAAGGCTGAGGTGCATGGATCACCTGAGGTCTGGCCAACATGGTGAAACCTCATCTGTACTAAAAATAGAAAAATTAGCCGGGCGTGGTGGCGGGCACCTGTAATCCCAGCTACTTGGGAGGCTGAGGCGAGACAATCGCCTGAACTCAGGAGGCAGAGGTTGCAGTGAGCCGAGATTGGACCATTGCACTCCAGCTTGGGCGACAAGAGCAAAACTCTGCCTCAAAAAAAAAAAAAAGAAGAAGAAGAAAAAATGTTAATCAGTTCCTACAAGAGTACTTCATTTATTCATTATTCATGTATTCAGCCGTGGGAGCTCTCCCAAGTGCTAGGTGGTAGATGCGCACTGGAGAACAAGTCCCAGTCCCAGACCTGGAGGACTTACAAGGCATGTAGAGAAGCTGGTGAGTAAACAAGAAGCTACAATGCAAGTATAGAGGTGATAAGCACACGGGTCTGTGGGAGTTGAGAGGACAGCGCTGAACCAAGCTTGGAGCTTGGGAATATCAGGGAAGCCTTCCTGGAGGAAGGGACATCCTCTTTAACAGCAGAAATGAGAAAGAGTTAGCCAGGCAAAAGGGTGAGGGACAGAAAGAATAAGTCAACTCATGCAAAGGCCCCGAGGGAGCCTGGGAAATGTGTGGCTGGAGCAGGATGGGAGCCCCTGACACTAGAGAGCTAAGCCCGGGCTGGACCATGAATGGTCTTGTCCTTGCTCGAGGGACTGATGGGGGTCACTGAAAGTCTGTAAACGGGAGTGGCAGGGAAAGATTAGTATGTTAGAAAGCTCTAAAGCATTGCTGGAGCTCAGAAGGCACGAATTTGGTGGGAAGAGTAGGAGTGGAGCAGAGAAACTGGTTAGGAAGCAGTTGCAGTAATAACGGCAGGAGTTGGTGGTAACTGGAACAAAGGGAGTCGCATCAGGATTGGAAAAAGGGGCTGGACTGGAGGATGGTGCCAGTGAATGATCGAGTTGGGGTGCAGGTGTGTGGGGTAGCCCCAGGGTTTCTGGTGGGGTGGTGCCCCTCTCTGATGGAAACAAAGGAGGAGGAGCAGGCTTAGTGCATAATCGGGTCTTATTTTCATATTTCTGATAAGATTTTCTCAAGTCTACAGCACTTCCTAAATATGTCATCACATGTGTGAGGTTTTTTGTTTTGTTTTGTTTTTTGTTTTTTGTTTTTGGTTTTTGGTTTTGTAGATCAAGGCGGCCCCCAAAACATTCTTTCTGTGTAAGGAGAGGTTACTCTGGAGAATTAAAGTAAAAGAGATGAGAGGTGCAGCAAAAAAGTCTGCTTAATTACTCCGCTGCACTTTCCCTATCCCTCTTTCATTCAACATCTACAAAGTCTGGTGCTTGGAAATAGAAAAGAATCCTGAGCCAGGCACAGTGGCTCACACCTGTAATTCCAGCACTGTGGGAGGCCAAGGCAGATGGATTGCTTGAGGCCAGGAGTTCGAGACCAGGCTGGCCAACATGGTGAAACCCTGTCTCTACTGAAAAATACAAAAATTAACCAGGTGTGGTGGCGCACACCTGCAATCCCAGCTACTCAGGAGGTTGAGGCATGAGAATTGCATGAACCCGGGAGGCGGAGGTTGCAGCGAGCCAAGATTGGGCCACTGCACTCTCCAGCTTGGGCAATAGAGCGAGAGACTGTCTAAGAATCCTGGCCTCATAAAACTTTCAATCTAGGTGTTGGCTTATGCCTTTAATCCCAGCACTGTGGGAGACCAAGGTAGGGGGATCGCTTGAAGCCATGAGTTCAAGACCGGCCTGGGCAACACAGCACAACCCCTATGTACAAAAAAATAAAAAATTGTCTGGACATGGTAGCATGGGCATGTAATCCTACCTACTTTCAAGGCTGAGGCAGGAGGCTGCAATGAGCCATGATCCAGCCACTGCACTCCAGCCTGAGTGACAAAGCAAGACTCTGTATATAAAAAAAAGAAAAAAAAGAATTTACAATCTCATAAATCAAAAGTAATATAGGATTATAAAATACTGACATGGCCCGGTTAGGTGGCTCATGCCTGTCACCCCAGCACTTTGGGAGGCCAAGGCAGGCAGATCACTTGAGGTCAGGAGTTTGAGACCAGCCTGGTCAACATGGTGAAACCCTGTCTTTACTAAAAATACAAAAATTAGCCAGGTGTGGTGGCACACACCTGTGATCCCAGCGACTTGGGAGGCTGAGGCAGGAGAATTGCTTGAGCCCAGGAAGGAGAGGTTGCATTAGCCGAGATTGTGCCACTGCACTCCAGCCTGGGTGACAGAGCAAGATCTGTCTAAAATAATAATAATAATAATGGTACTTTCACATAAAACATTTTTTTTTGAGATGGAGTTTCCCTCTTGTTGCCCAGGCTGGAGTGCAATGGTGCAATCTCTGCTCACTGCAAACTCCACCTCCCAGATTCAAGCAATTCTGCCTCAGCCTCCCAAGTAACTGGGATCACAGCCGCGTGCCACCACTCCCGGCCAATTTTTTGTATTTAGTAGAGATGGGGTTTCACCATGTTGGTCAGGCTGGCCTCAAACTCCTGACCTCAGGTGATCCACCTGCCTCAACCTCTTAAAGTACTGGGATTACAGGCATGAGCTACCACGCCCAGCCCCTCGCTGTCGCCAAGGCTGGAGTGCAGTGGTGTGATCTCAGTTCACTTCAGCCTCCACCTCCTGGGTTCAAGCAATTTTTCTGCCTCAGCCCCCTGAGGAGCTGGGATTACAGTCACATGCCACCATGCCTGGCTAATTTTTGTAATTTTAGTAGAGACGAGGTTTCACCATGTTGGCCAGGCTGGTCTCGAACTTCCAACCTTAGGTGACCCACCCGCCTTGGCCTCCTAAAGTGCTGGGATTACAGGTGTGAGCCACCGCACCTGGCCATTTTTGCCTCTCTTTTTTTTATTATAAATGCATAGCTTTTATTCTAAATGTAATAATGCCTACCAAAGAAAATGCGAAAACTACAAGTAAAAACAAATTGCTCACAATTCAGAAATAACATAATGCCTATTAATGCTTTCACTTCTTTTCATCCATTAATCTTTCTAAGTGCTCTACTGACATAATTGAAAATAATTTCCCATAAGCCTGTTGGTATAATGCCCTTTTTAGCTAATGCCATGATGATAGATTATCAACTCCAGAAGTATTATTTTAATAACTAAGAGACAAACCATACTTTATTTAACTACCTTCTGTCACTGTCACTGAGTAGTTTGTTTCCAACTTTTAAATTTTTTATTTTTTTATTCATAAATATACATTTGTATTTCAGTGTTTCAATATTATAAATAACATTGGAATGATCTTTGGGCAAAGGCTTTGTCTGTCTCTGCAATTACTTTCCCAAGGATCATACTCAGAGATGAAATAGCTGAGGAAGGAATATGAGAAATATCCAGGTTTGTTTTAATTTTTAATCCTTTATATATTTACCTTTTTTTTTTTGAGACAGGGTCTTTGTTGCCTAGGCTGGAGTGCAGTGGCACGATCTTGGCTCACTGCAACCTCTGCCTCCCTGATTCAAGCAGTTCTCATACCTCAGCCTCCGGAGTAGCTGGGATTACAGGCATCCGCCACCACGCCTGGCTAATTTTCGTATTTTTTTGTAAAGACAGGGTTTTGTCTTGTTGGCCAGGCTGGTCTTGAATTCCTGACCTCAAGTGATCTGCCCGCCTCGGTCTCCCAAAGTGCTGGGATTACAGGTGTGAACTACCACCCTGCCTATATTTACCTCTTGAATCCATCGATTTTATGGCATGAGGTAAGAATCTAGTTTTTCGGCCGCCCCTACTGGGAGGTGAGGAGCCCCTCTGCCCAGCCAGCCGCCCCGTCCGGGAGGGAGGTGGGGGGGTCAGCCCCCCGCCCGGCCAGCCGCCCCGTCCGGGAGGGAGGTGGGGGGATCAGCCCCCCGCCTGGCCAGCCGCCCCGTCCGGGAGGTGAGGGGCGCCTCTGCCCGGCCGCCCCTACTGGGAAGTGAGGAGCCCCTCTGCCCGGCCAGCCGCCCCATCCGGGAGGGAGGCGGCGGGGGGGGTCGGCCAGCCGCCCCGTCCGGGAGGGGGGTGGAGGGGTCAGCCCCCCGCCCGGCCAGCCGCCCTATCCGGGAGGTGAGGGGCGCCTCTGCCCGGCCGCCCCTACTGGGAAGTGAGGAGCCCCTCTGCCTGGCCAGCCGCCCCGTCCGGGAGGGTGGTGGGGGGTCAGCCCCCCGCCCGGCCAGCCGCCCCATCCGGGAGGTGAGGGGCGCTTCTGCCCGGCCGCCCCTACTGGGAAGTGAGGAGCCCCTCTGCCCGGCCACGACCCCGTCTGGGAGGTGTGCCCAGCGGCTCATTGGGGATGGGCCATGATGACAATGGCGGTTTTGTGGAATAGAAAGGCGGGAAGGGTGGGGAAAAAATTGAGAAATCGGATGGTTGCCGGGTCTGTGTGGATAGAAGTAGACATGGGAGACTTTTCATTTTGTTCTGTACTAAGAAAAATTCTTCTGCCTTGGGATCCTGTTGATCTGTGACCTTATCCCCAACCCTGTGCTCTCTGAAACATGTGCTGTGTCCACTCAGGGTTGAATGGATTAAGGGCGGTGCAAGATGTGCTTTGTTGAACAGATGCTTGAAGGCAGCATGCTCGTTGAGAGTCATCACCACTCCCTAATCTTAAGTACCCAGGGACACAAACACTGCGGAAGGCAGCGGGGTCCTCTGCCTAGGAGAACCAGAGACCTTTGTTCGCTTGTTTGTCTGCTGACCTTCCCTCCACTATTGTCCTATGACCCTGCCAAATCCCCTTCTGCGAGAAACACCCAAGAATGATCAATTAAAAAAAAAAAAACAAAAAAACAAATATTTACGTATGATAATGAGAAGAACACTGTCCTAGATGGCTGAAATGCTAATAGTCTTTAATTCACTATTTTCTTATTCTGACTGTTGCAAAGATTTGTAGTTTTATTGATGATTCTCACTCATGTTCTAAAATAGGAGTTGGCAAACTATTGGCTGCCTGTGTTTATGAATAAAGTTTTCCTAGAACACAACAACAAAAAAAAAACAAACAAAAAAAAAAAAGAATCTAGTTTTTGCTTTCCAGAGGTGAGAAGAAGGGGTCTTCTTCAGGAACCCCGAGCCCCATCCTCTTAGCCCTCAGTTTATGTTTTTTTTTTATTCTTTATTTTTTTGATTCTTTTTTTTTTTTTTTTGAGACGGAGTATCGCTGTGTCGCCCAGGCTGGAGTGCAGTGGCCCGATCTTGGCTCACTGCAACCTCCACCTCCTGGGTTCACGCCATTCTCCTGCCTCAGCCTCCTGAGTAGCTGGGACTACAGGCGTCCACCACCACGCCCGGCTAATTTTTTGTATTTTTAGTAGAGACAGGGTTTCACTGTGTTAGCCAGGATGGTCTCTATCTCCTGACCTCATGATCCGCCCGCCTCGGCCTCCTGAAGTGCTGGGATTACAGGTGTGAGCCACGGCGCCCGGCCTTCCCTCAGTTTCTTGAAACTCCCTTGGAGAACAGAAGATGAAATACAGAGTTGACATGTCATGCCCAGATTCCCTTTTCCCTAATTACAAGAAAGTGTTTTCCCTGTTCCGTGAGTAACTAACTGCCTTTCTCTAAGTGGCCTCACTCTGATGAGTAACTGAAAATGCACTTCTCTGTTTGAACTTTGTCAGAAGTGTCCGTGCCAAAAAGCTTTGAAATGCTCAAAAGTACATAAAATAGAAAGGGACCGCAAACATAAAACAGGAAACAAACAAGTTAATCAAGTGCTTAGCATAGTGCCCAGCACATATTAAGGACTTGGTAAATGGTATTTATTAACTCAACAGACATTTATGGATTTCCTACTGGAAGTCAGGCACTATGGGGACTTGGCAGTGACCAAAACATAGTTACTGCCCTCCCACAGCGTCCTGCCTGGTGGGCAAGACAGCCTTAAACACATGATTACACGAATGGTGGTTAGTTATAAGTGTTAAGTGTCAAGGTACTGGGGGGCTATCACATCAGGATAAGGGGACACTGATGAATTATAAGGTTACACTGGGGTCGGGCATGGTGGTTCACGCCTGGAATCCCAGCACTTTTGGAAGCCAAGGAGGGCAGATCACCTGAGGTCAGGAGTTTGAGACGAGCCTGGCCAACATGGTGATACCCCGTCTCTACTAAAAATACAAAATTAGCCGGGCATGGTGGTGCATGCCTGTAATCCCAGCTACTCGGGAGGCTGAGGCAGGAGAATCACTTGAACCTGAGAGGTGGAGGTTGCAGTGAGCTGAGATTGGGCCATTGCACTCCAGCCTAGGTGACAGAGCGACGCTCCGTCTCAAAAAAAAAAAACAAAAACACAGTTGGGGTACGGTGGCTCACACCTGTAATCCCAGCACTTTGGGAGGCCGAGGTGGGCAGATCACCTGAGGTCAGGAGTTCGACACCAGCCTGGCCAACATGGTGAAACCCCGTCTCTACTAAAAATACAAAAAAATTAGCTGGGCATGGTGGTGCACACCTGTAATCCCAGCTACTTGGGAGGCTGAGGCAGGAGAATCACTTGAACCCGGGAGGCAGAGGTTGCAGTGAGCCAAGATCTCGCCATTGCACTGCAGCCTGGGGGACAGAGTGAGGCTCTGTCTCAAAAAAAAGGGGATATATTGGGGAATTCTAAAAAGGAAAATAATTGTCATGTTAATAAATGGAGATTTTAGGGCCAGGCTGGGCAGAGGCAACTGCCAGTTGTCATGAGTGCATGCAGAGAAGATTCAGGGCTTCCTGGAAAAGGCTTCTACCTGGTATTTATTTAATACCCTGGGAATAAGTGCCTAGGCCCAAGGCCTAGCCCACCTAGAGGTCAAAATGAAGCATCGCTTGCCAGGGCAGACGGCAAAGCTAAGTGTAGCAAATCCAGGTCAGGAAGCCCAGAGGAGGCCAGAGGCTGGAAAGGCAGGGGCAAAGTCTCAAATGTGGGCACATGTTGAGCATGTCAAAGAGAAAGACACCAAGGGGACCTCAGTGAGGGGCTTGAGATCAGAGGATGTGGATGATGATCGGGAGGAGGCAGAGGTAGGGCAGTAGTGGTTGACTAACAAAGGGGCAGCAGGAGGGTGGTGACAGTCCAGAAGACTTAGAGATGATGGGGACTGAGATAGGTGGTAAGAGCGGGAGACTATGTTGGGGCTGTGGCAGCAAAGGTGACAAGGTGACAGGGTCGGGTGGGGACAGTCAAGGTGACAGGAGAGATGGGAATGAACTAGCAAGTGACAGGTTGGGTTGGAGGTGGTTGACAAAGGGTTGGTCCAGATAGCCACAGGCTTGGGCATGGGGCAGGGGCAGGGATGGTGGCAATGCTCAAGAAGGTAACACGATGATGGGAACTGGGTCAAGTGACAGCGTGGGTAAGAAAGGGGCAGTGGTTGTGATGCAGGGATGATGGTGAGGGTGACAAATGAGTGACAGGGTCAGAGAGGAGTGATGACCATCAAGGTGACCCAGGGGTGACAGGAAGTGTGGGTGGCAATGATGTCTGTGCCAGTAGCAAGTCAGAGACACCCATCTAGCCCCCCTCCCCTGGGCCTGTTTCAACAGCGGAACTGTTTCCTAGGCCGCAGGTCTCATGACTCAGTACCATGTATCAGCCATGCCGTGGATAAGATCTCTAGGTGGAGCCCCAGCCGTGGGGGCAGGCTAGGTGCCTGTGTCGGCTGTGCCCAGGCCCATCGAAGGACCCAGGCATGGAACCTTAATGTCATCTCTGCCTCCTCCCTCCTGGGTCCACATCCACTCCAATCTGGGGTTGGCCACAAACACTTAGCCTCCTTCTCCTTACAGACTACAAAAGTTCTAGCCAGAGCTTTGTCTATTCCACCAGGCTTCTTCCACGGCTGACCCCATTAGAAGTTTCTGGGCCTCTAATTCTTTCTCGTAACTATCCCCTGTGGGGAGAGAGAAAGGAAGGTGGACTTCAAGAGGGTTCTGAATAATCCCATCCATTCATCCCACAAATATTTATTAAACTCCTTGCAAGGTACTAGGGGCTGACTTGCACAACCAGACCTGTGTCCCTGTCTCCATGAAGCTCAGTCTGGAAGAACAATGGCAGCGAATGGCAGCCACCATTGGGACAGTGCTACTTACTTGTAACAGAGTGGGGCAAACTTTTTTTTTTTTTTTTTGAGACAGGATCTCACTCTGTCACCCAGGCTGGAGTACAGGGGTGTGATCATGGCTCACTGCAGCCTTGACCTCCTGGACTCAAGCGATCCTCCTGCCTCAGCCTCCTGAATAGCTGAGGCTACAGGTGTGTGCCACGACACCCGGCTATTATTTTTTATTTTCTGTAGAGACAGGGTCTCACTATGTTGCCCAGACTGGTGCAAACTGCTTTTTAAACCATGAAGAGACCAGGCGCGGTGGCTCACGCCTGTAATCCCAGCACTTTGGGAGGCCGAGGAGGGCGGATCACCCTAGGTCGGGAGTTCGAGACCAGCCTGACCAACGTGAAGAAACCCCATCTCTACTAAAAATACAAAATTAGCCGGGCGTGGTAGCGCATGCCTGTAATCCCAGCTACTCGGGAGGCTGAGGCAGGAGAATCGCTTGAACCCAGGAGGCAGAGGTTGCAGTGAGCCGAGATCATGCCATTGCACTCCAGCCTGGGCAACAAGAGTAAAACTCCATCTCAAAAAACAAAACAAACCAAACCAAAACAAAACACAACCCTGAAGAGAGTGGGTCTCATTAAAGGAAATCTTGGGGACTGTGCCAGTGACCCTTCGGCTAAGCTAAACACTGTATAAAAAGTAATTTAGAGTATAGTGAGCAATCAGGAGAGAGAAAGTAAGGAGGGGGGGATGGGAGGGTAGAGAAAACCAGCAGTGTGGCCAGAGGCAGGGGTACTAAGTGGGGTGAAGGGGCCAGGGAGAAATAGCCTCTGGTGGAGGAGCCAAAATGATTTCGAAGAATAGAGATGTTTAATATTCAATTTGAACGTGTTGTACAAGGTAAATTCCCCACCAGGCACGGAGGTTCACGCCTGTATTCCGAGCACTTTGGTAGGCCAAGGTGGGCAGATCATTTGAGGTTGGGAGTTTGAGACCAGCATGGGCAATATGGCGAAACCCTGTCTCTACTAAAAATACAAAAATTAGCCGGGCGTAGTGGCACGCGCCTGTAATCCCAGATACTTGGGAGGCTGAGGCAGGAGAATCTCTTGAACTCGGGAGGTGGAGGTTGCAGTGAGCCAAGATCATGCCCCTACATTCCAGCCTGGGCAACAGAGCAAAACTCCGTCTCAAAAAAAAAAACAAACAAAAACAAAACAAAACAAAACAAAAAACCACCAAAGTAAATTCCCTCTGTCTCCCCAAACTTTCCACACAGTTTGTTACTAACAAAGAAGTTTGTTACTTCCAGGGCTGGGCACGGTGGCTCATACCTGTAATCCCAGCACTTTGGGAGGCCGAGGCAGGCAGATCACGAGGAAAAGAAATCGAGACCATCTTGGCCAACATGGTGAAACCCTGTCTCTACTAAAAAATACAAAAATTAGCTGGGTGTGGTGGTGCGTGCCTGTAGTCCCAGCTACTCAGGAAGCCGAGGCAGAAGAATCGCTTGAACTCGAGAAGCGGAGGTTGCAGTGAGCCGAGATCGAGCCACTGCACTCCAGTCTGGTGACAGAATGAGACTCCGTCACAAAAAAAAAAAAAAGAAGTTTGTTACTTCCTTCTTATTGAGATACACTTCTTCACATGCCATAATATTTACCCTTCTAAATTTTACAATTTAATGGTTTTTTAGTGTATTCACAAAGTTATGCAACCTTTATCACTGTCTAATTCCAGAACATGTCATCACTCTAAAAAGACAACTCAGCCCCATTAGGAGTCAGTCCTCATCTGCCCCAGCCCCTGGCAACCACTAACATACTTTCTGTCACTATAGATTTGCCTGTTCTGACATTTTATACAACATGTAGACTTTTGTGACTGGCTTCTTTCACTTAGCATACTGTTTCCAAGGTTCATCTGTGTTATAGCATGTATAAACAATTTCCTTTTTTTTTTTTTTTTTTTTTTTTGAGACAAAGTCTCGCTCTGTTGCCCAGGCTGGAGTGCAGTTGCACAATCACAGCTCACTGCAGCCTTGACCTACTGGGATCAAGCAATCTTCCCACCCTAACCTCCTGAGTAGCTGGGACTACAGGCACGCACCACCATGCCCATATAAATTTTTTTTTAATTTTTTGTAGAGATAAGGTTTCACCATGTTTCCCAAGCTGGTCTCAAACTCCTGGGCTCAAGTGATTCACCCACCTTGGCCTCCCAAAGTATTGGGATTACAGACATGAGCCATCACACCCAGCCAGAGATTCCTTTTCTTCTTTTTCAAGTGGAATTCAGAGAAAAAGAGCAAGATACACATCTGAGTTACCACGGTATGTTTCAGGGACCCAGGGGTCCAGGCCAAGATGGTGACAAAAATGTCAGGACCTCAGCCTTTCCCCCTTTGACAGGATCCACTCAGGACAGAATTCTTACTATCTCTCAGCAGCCTTCCCACCTCCCCCAATCCTGCCCCCGGCAACTATCTTGACCCACCTTTGTTTGTTTGTTTGTTTGTTTGTTCGTTGTTTTTGAGACAGAGTCTCGCTGTATTGCCCAGGCTGGAGTGCAGTAGCGCAATCTTGGCTCACTGCAACCTCTGCCTCCAAGGTTCAAGCGATTCTCCTGCCTCAGCCTCCCGAGTAGCTGGGACTACAGGTGCCCGCCACCACACTCGGCTAATTTTTGTATTTTTCGTAGAACAGAGTTTCGCCTTGTTGACCAGGCTGGTCTTGAACTCCTATTCTCAGATGATCCACCCGCCTCGGCCTCCCAAAGTGCTGGGATTACAGATGCATGAGCTACAGCACCCAGCCTCTGTTTGTTTTTTTGTTTTTTGTTTGTTTGTTTTTTGTGTATTTCTGCTGTTTAAATCCACCTTTCTTAAGTACCATTTTGGACACATTTTCCCACCCCTCTCATTTGCATCCTCTAATTCTTAAACTTGGCATTCCAGGTCCTCACAGCCAAGTCCCCTCCCATTGCTGCTGCCTTCTGGCTTCATGTGTGGCTTTCAGGATCTCTCTGCTTCAGCTGTGTCTCTGTCCCTTTTCTCACACCCTGCCCTCTGATGCAATGTCCCCCTGCCCTCTCTCATCTGAATTTAAGGCTGTTAGGACCCTAGAAAATAATCCAAGAATGCTAGGCCTGGGAAAGGAAATTGAGACTCAAATCATCTCATGCCACATCCCTGTGGTACTGAGGGAGAAACTGAGGTAAAGAGTGGTAGTGGGAATTACTCTGGGTCTCAGAATAACTTGGAGGTCCTGACACCCAGGCCCCTCCCTGCACTGTGTGCATTGGTCTCTATCCAAGGTGGCAACTGGTCCCAAGTTGACTCCTTCCTGACACCCTAGGTTGGTGATGGATGAGCTTATAGGGATGACTAAGCAAGAACGGTAGGAGGCTGTGGTTCCCCAGAACCTCCCTGGCCTGGATCCTGCCTAACTTGGCCCCACACACCCTTCTAGTCTCATCTGGCATTCTCAGCTCCAGCAACACTGAACTCTGTCCAGCTCTTGCAGGTCACCCTCATCTCCTGCCTTCAGGCTTTTAGACAAGCTGTTACCTCTCCCTGGATCAGCCCACAGGCTAATTCCTTCTCATCCTTCAGGACTCAGTATAAAGGTGGAGGGGCATGGGAAGGTGATGTGGGCCTTAAAAGGGCTCCGCGCTTGATTTAATGCTGTCCAAATTGCCTCTGGTTGCTTGTATTTGCAGTATCCTCCACTAATTAGCCTTTAGATTCCATGAAGGCAGGAACAGTCCTCAGTTTCTATTTGGGAATCCATTTTTTTCAGAGGAAGTTGACATCTCTCTTGGGACCAGAGGTGGGAAACATGAGGGATGGGCCCATGACCAAGCTGATATAATCAGAGTGTACCTTAGGGTGTTTACTGGAACAGCTAGTGACAAAGATGTTCCATCTTCCCTGCTGAACATTAACAAGGAAGCATGTGGCCCGAGAGCCACTGCCAGCTCTCTTGAAACCACAGAGAATCTAGCCTTAGGATGAGGCTGACAGCATGGAAGGAAGACAGAAGAGACAGAAAGGACATGTATGCTGGATCAAGCCTCAAGTGAAGTTTTCCTCTAAATTGTTCAGTTATGTGAGCCATTTACCACCGTTGCCCAAGCCACATTGAGTCAAATTTCCTCTTACTGGCATCCAGATGCTTTTTACCTAATATTGTGGTATATCTTATCACAATATTATATAAGATATTAGTCATCATAGTATTTCTGGTGCTTACCATGGCCAACCTGGCATTGAAAAATAGGTGCTTGGGAGGTCGGGCCTGGAAGCTCACACCTGTAATCCCAGCACTTTGGGAGGCCAAGGTTGGAGGATCACCTGAAGTCAGGATTTCGAGACCAGCCTGGTCAATATGGTGAAACCCCATCTCTACTAATAATACAAAAATTAGCTGGGCGTGGTGGCACACACCTATAATCCCAGCTACTCAGGAGGCTGAGGCAGGAGAATCACTTGAACCCGGGAGGCGGAGGTTGCAGTGAACCGAGATCACACTATTACACTCCAGCATGGGCAACAAGAGCGAAACTCCATCTCAAAAAAAAAAAAAAGTGCGTGGTCAGGCGAGGTGGTTCATGACTATAATCCCAGCATTTTGGGAGGCCAAGGCAGAAGGCTCACTTCAAGAGTTAGAGACCCGTGTGAGTAACATAGGGGGACACCATATCTACAAAAAGTAGAAAAAAATAATAAATTAGCTCAGTGTGGTGGTACACACCTATAGTCCCAGCTACTCTGGGGGCTGAGGTGGGAGGATCACTTGACCCCAGGAGGTTGAGGTTGCAGTGAGCTGGGATCACACCACTGCACTCCAGCCTGCAGAACAGATGGAACCCTGCCTATAAAAAATAAAAATAAATTTAAAAAACTAAAAAAAGATGCTTAAATGTTTTTTGTTTTGTTTTGTTTTGTTTGAGACGGAGTCTCACTCTGTCACTCAGGCTGGAGTACAGTGGCATGATCTCAGCGCACTGCAACCTCCTCCTCCCAGGTTTAAGAGGTTCTCTTGCCTCAGCCTCCCAAGTAGCTGGGACTACAGGTGCGTGCCACCACACCCGGCAAATTTTTGCATTTTTAGTAGAGACAGGGTCTCACCATGTTGGGCAGGCTGGTCTTGAACTCCTGGCCTCAGGTGATCCACCCACCTCGGCCTCCCAAAGTGCTGGGATTACAAGCATGAGCCACCACGCCTGGCCAATAAATGTTTGATGAAATAATAAAGAAATACATGAGCCAGGTGCTGTGGCTCATACCTGTAATTCTAGCACTTTGGAAGGCTGAGGTGGGAGGATCGCTTGAAGCTAGGAGTTCAAGACCAGCCTGAGGAACATGGCAAGACCCCATTTCTACAAAAAATTTGAAAAATTAGCCAGGCATGGTGGCGCGTAGCTGTGGTGCCAGCTACTCAGAAGGCTGAGGTGAGAGGATCACTAATGGAGATGGAGGCTGCCGTGAGCTGTGTTCGTGCCACTGCACTCCAGCCTGGGTGACAGAGCAAGACCTTGTCTCAAGAAAAAAAAAAAAAATCAATAATAAAATAAGGGCCGGGCACGGTAGCTCACGCCTGTAATCCCAGCACTTTGGGAGGCCGAGAAGGGCAGGTCTCTTGAGGTCAGGAGTTCGAGACCAGCCTGGCCAACATGGCGAAACCCTGTCTTTACTAAAAATACAAAACAAAATTAGCTGGGTGTGGTGGCAGGCGCCTGTTGTCCCAGCTACTCGGGAGGCTGAGGTGGGAGAATTGCTTGAACTCAGGAGGGGGAAGTTGCAGTGAGCCAAGATCATGCCATTGCACTCCAGCCTGGGCAACAGAGCAAGACTCCATCTCAAAATAAATTAGTAATAATTACAAAATAAACAAGCTCTCTAGTAGAAAGGCCAGGAGATACTCTTTTCCACATGAGACTCTTCCAGGAGCCCTTCTGCAGATGTCTGCTGGCCTCTTCAACCCTGTGCCCCTCAAGGCATCCCCTACAGGTCCTCCTCTTTCCTAGCGGGAGTCCACATCCCTGGGACAGCACAGAGCATTGTCACTTTCTGTTCCGCCCCTGGCAGCTGGACCCGCCAAGGCTTCTCTCTACAGTCAGATGTCTCTGGGCTTAGAAGATGTACTCTGAGACTGGGGACCCAGGCCTGGACAGGCCACTGCCTTACCCAGTAGCTTCGTGCAAGTCACCTGTATTTGAGACTCAGCTACCTGCTCTGCAGAACTGCAGTAACGGTGTGGATCCATTGACTTCAGAGGGTAAGATGGCCCTGACTCTCGTGCCTGAGTTTCTAAACTGTGAGACAGTGGCTGCTCTACCAGTTAGAAATCAGAAGTTTTAGTCTATCCTGCTGTTCGCTTATTCAGCAAGTATTTGTCAACAGCTATGGTGTGTGCCTACCCAGGCACTCAGACTCAGCCACAGTCTACAGACCTCCCGCTTCCTGACCACTTGCTCTGAAAATCTGGGTTGTGATCTCAAAACCTAAAGACTTCCCAATCCCACGTCCTGACCTCCGTGTCTTGTTTGGAATATCGCAACCCCCAATCCTGTACCCCCAGTCCTGTGCCCACCTCCACACACACTGCCGCTCTGTCCGACTCAGTACATAGATGTGTGGCTTCTGGCCCCACAAGGTAGGAGTGTGGGTGAGTGTGTATTCGGGTGTGAGTGCCCCTGAGAGTGTAAGGCTGTGTGAATATAAGGATGTGGAGTGTGGGTGTGTATCTGAGTGTGTTTGAGCGTGTGTGTGTAATGAGTGAGAGTCGCTGTCAGGGCTTGTTTGACTGTAGTTGGGTCAAGTATGGAGTGAGTGTGCCATGTGTGGGGGTGTGGATGAGCCAGTGTGGGTGTGCATGATTTTGTGTGAGGGTGTGCAAAGCCTCAGTCCCTCATCAGTCAAAGACACACCCTCACGTGCATGTGGGCACATATGCATTCCAAGGGTCGAAGGTGGCTAAGCTGTAAGCCCATCTTCCGATAAGGGAAGACTTTGTCCACAGGCCAGGGATCACTCTCCCCTCCCCACCCCAACATGGAAGTGGGGATCCCCCAGCTAAAAGTTGCCTCTGTCAGGAACGAGCACCCTGAGACTGCGGCCCACGGCCCACCTCCCACCTCAAGCCAGGCCGCCTCCTCCTCTCTCTCAGCTGCTTTCCAGCCCAGCCCTGGCAGTGACCCTGGACCGAGAGGCGAAGGACGGGCTGGTGGCCAGACATTCCAGGTGCCTCCCTGGCTGTGGGGGGCATCTCCATGGAGACGAGCAGCTGACCATAACAAGATGATTATCGGGGCTCCCAGGGTCCCCCCCAGCCTCTCCCAAACAGACCTCTTCAGCACTAAGCCGTGCCAGGAAGTGTGACAAGAACCCATTGCTCCTCACAGGAGCTTCTGAAAAAGGCAGAGACCACAGAGCCATGGGATTGTCCCTGAAACAGCTTCCCCGACGCAAGAGACCAAAGAAGTTGGCCAAGGCAATTGGATCTGGTTTAAGGCTTTATCCCCAGAGATCTCTAGAAGCAGGGGACGATGCCACCCATTCCTTCTTCGCCCATTATATTTCACTCTGACCTGGAGGTATGACCAAGGCAATAGAGGGTGGGGGCCCCTAGAGGAGTCAGGGTGGCTGGTTTGCAGCCCACTCATCACCCCACCCCACTGTCAATCTCAGCTGTCCCTAAGACGTGCCGGTTAGTGTCCCCTAGTGTGCTTTGGCCATACACGGGGCTGGGAAGGGGCACCGATCCTTTTCTGGCTCCCAAAGCTGCTGGGTCTCTCAGTGTGTTGGTGAGAGCTGGAAGAGGTCCCCAGAGTCACTGCAATTGTCCTGGTTTCTGCCCTGTTCTTGAGGAGCTAAAGTGGGATGTCAATGAGACCTCAGAAAGAACTTCCTGATAGGAGGCTGTGAAACAAGATTAGTAAACACAGATTGGGATTTTTGCTTGTGCCCTCAACCTTCTGGGATTGCCTCCTGGCCATGATGCCACATACACCACCCTGTGAACCCGTTTCATCGCCATCACCACTCTCAACCCCTACCATATCCCCTGAGCCCCACGACGGGATGGGATGCCCAGCCCTCCCTTTCTCAGGAGCCTGAATTTTCTGGAGAGGACCCAGGGTGGGAAAGAGTCTCTGGCTTCCATCTCCCCTAAGCCCAGGCTGCCTGGGGAAAGCTGACTCCACTGAAGCTGGAGGGACTGGGGCTTAACTCCCAGGCTGACTAAGGCCCCACAGAAGCTCCAAGCTCCCGGAACTAGAGCAGATGGCCTTGGGGAATCAGGCGTCACTTGCAAGCCTGTCTTCATGCTTTCCTTCCCCACGGTACATAGGGAGCTCAGAAGGAGTCATCGTCACCATCGTTATAGCCTGCACTTCCAAAGCCCTTCCTGCCACATCTGGCATTGTTCTGATGCGTGTGTTAATCCACTTACCCCGCCTTGCACAACCTAATGAGGTAGATACTATTACTATCCCCATTTCACAGAGGAAGAAACTGATATTCAGAGAGGTGACATCAGTCAGGGATGCCGCAGGCACAGATAGTGTCCTCTGAGGCTTCACTGAAGAGAGCCTGAGGAGGGACTATTTACAGAGGTGGCGGTAGAGTCAAGGGGACCAACCAGGGACGGCTTGGGGACTAACCAACAGCAGCCGTTCCCCCTCAGCCAGAAGAGGCAAGGGGAGAGCAGTGTTCTAGAATGCAGGAAAAACCAGAGCCCTGGAAAAGGCGTGAATAGCCTGACCTTTATCCCCCCACCCTTCCTGCCCTCTGGTTTCCTAGCTGTGTCTCCCATTTGCCAAACCCAGCTGGAAGCCTGAGGGCAAGAAGGCCCCGGGAATGCCGCCCCGCCCGTAGAGATTAGCCTCCTGAGACACAGAACAGGATAGGGATTGGATCTGGAGCAGATGGAGACTCCCACCCACCCAAGATCCCGTGGCTGGGAAAGGCTCGTTTGGAACCTAGGTAATCTGCATTCAGAGCCCTACTCCCTGAGATGTTGCGAAATGCTCTCTGGGGAAGGGATTGAGAAGACTGGGGTCTAGTGCAGGCTCTGCCGCTCTGCTCTGTGACTCTAGATGAGACTCTAGTTTTGCCTTTACACAAAGAGGAGGTGTCCCCTCCTGGCACCCTCCACAGCCTAGGTGCCCAGACCAGACACATCCTCTGTGTTTCCACTGCCACCCCCTCCCTTACCTCAGACAAACCTGGCACCAAAAGCCAAAGCCCGGGACATGGAGATGCTGAGTCCCTGAGGAGCCCATCCCTAGCTGGGGGCAGACGCACTCATTCCCCTGCCCCCGTCAGACTCCGAGGTTCTACCCAGGAAGCCTCCTTCCAGTCTCCCTGGTGGCCCCAGGGTCTCCATCTCCATATTTCCTTTCTTTGTACTACCACATTCCCAGGGCCCATAGCTCAGGGGTCCTACCCGCAAGACAGGCTCCCTCCTCCCAGCCAGAAGGTTCGAGGCCCTGCTTAGGCCAGCAACCTCACAAACTGTTCCTCGGGGATCCAGGCTGTCTCTGGCCCCTGGGGTCCCTGTACTGGGTGGAGTAGTCCCTCTTCTCCCCTTCCCACCCCACCCAACTCTACCCCACCCACGTTTCCCCAAGCCTAGAAGTGCCCCACCTAGGTTTTCAGAAAAACAAAATCAAGAGGAAAGAGGAAGGAGGGAGCTCATTACCAGGAATTAAGGAGGAGGCCTGCCCTAGGGGAACACAAGTGAGACTTGGCTGGCAGGCAGAGATATGCACTGAGTACATGGAGGTGTACTCAAAGTACACTGAGAGAGGGGCTCAGAGGAACATGCAGAGATGTGATCTGAGGGTCACAGTCCAGGATGTTCACTCAGAGGTACACAAAGAAAGACCCAGACACAAGGCTGGGCACTGTGGTTCATGCCTGTAATCCCAGCACTTTGGGTGGCCAAGGCAGGTGGATCACCTGAGGTCAGGAGTTCGACACCAGCCTGGGCAACACGGTGAAACCCTGTCTCTACTAAAAATACAAAAATTAGCTGGGCGTGGTGGCATGTGCTTGTAATCCCAGCTACTCGGGAGGCTGAGGCAGGAGAATTGCTTCAACCCAGGAGGCAGAGGTTGCAGTGAGCTGAGATCACACCATTGCACTCCAGCCTGGATGACAAGAGTGAAACTCCATCTCAAAAATAATAATAATAATAATAATAAAAGAAAGACCCAGACACAAAGAGTCAGGCAGTAAGAGATACTCGGAAAGAGACAGAGACATGGTCTGCCAGAGGTTTGGACCCACAGAGACATAACCAGATACATTGAAAGAAAGGCACAACCAGAAACACTAAGTGCATTTGCTTGGGTGCACACACACACTGAGGCAGGCACACTAAGAAACAGGAACCAAGCTCAAGTTTCACAGAGACTGATTTTAACCCAAGCAGATCTGAATTTTAAGGAAACATGAGCTCCTCCAAAGTGGGCTGTGGAGATGGCTCAGCACAGGAAGAAGGGACAGAGGTGAGATAGGGGATGCAATTCTCCCTTCATGTCCTCACCAGAAAATGGATTACATGGAATGGGAGAAGATAACTTCCTTTTTTTTTTTTTTTAGACAGAGTCTCACTCTGTCACCCAGGCTGGAGTGCAATGGCATGGTCTCAGGTCACTGCAACTTCTGCCTCCTGGGTTCAAGCGGTTCTCCCACCTCAGCCTCCCAAGTAGCTGGGACTACAAGCGTGTGTCACCACGCCCAGCTAATTTTTGTATTTTTAGTGGAGATGGGGTTTCACTATGTTGGCCGCGCTGGTCTCGAACTCCTGACCTCATGATCCGCCCGCCTCGGCCTCCCAAAGTGCTGGGATTACAAGCGTCAGCCACTGCGCCCGGCTTTTTTTTTTTTTTTTTGAGACGGAGTCTTGCTCTGTCGCCCAGGCTAGAGTGCAGTGGTGCGATCTCGGCTCACTGCAAGCTCCGCCTCCTGGGTTTATGCCATTCTCCTGCCTCAGCCTCCCGAGTAGCTGGAACCACAGGCACCCGCTGCCACGCCCAGCTAGTTTTTTGTATTTTTTAGTAGAGACAGGGTTTCACCGTGTTAGCCAGGATGGTCTCGATCTCCTGACCTCGTGATCCGCCCGCCTCGGCCTCCCAAAGTGCTGGGATTACAGGTGTGAGCCACCGTGCCCGGCCGGGAGAAGACACCTTCCTAAAGGAGATGAAGAGTTGTTTTGCTAGAACTTTCTGACAGCCAGAACTGCTGGTGGAAGGTACACCTGGAGGTGGGGTGAGGAGGTGGGGAGCTTCCCTTCTACCCCTGGAGGGGTGACACAGCTGCTGCCTGGCTCATGTCCCTTTCAGCCCCTGCCCTGACCCACTGCTCCTGGTCCTGGCCGGGCCTTACCCTCTCTCACATGGCCTGACCCTCCAGGCAACACGTTCCCTTGGTTGCGGCCACGTGCTTCTTTGCCCTGCATCCTGTGTGTGAGCCCCTCTTGTCTCCCCTCCATCTCTCCCAAGAGCCTTCTGAAGTCAGGACACAGCACGCTATCGCCCTCACACTTCCTCCCTCCCCTTTCTCGGGAAATTCAGAATCCATGGAAGGAATCTGAGGAGGAAGAGGATATTGAATTCAATGACCTTTAAAAAAAACAGCCTTTAGCATCCTCCCTCCACTGCCTCCCCACCCCCATCTCTGGTTCTGCAGGAAAAATCATGAGGTGACATTTATTGAGGATTTACCATCTGCTAATCACTGTGTTAAGTCCTTTCCATGAATCATCTTCCATTATTTCCTCCTCTCAATATCTCCCAATTCACAGATAAGGGAGGTTCAGGAAAAGAACATGACTACCCCAAGGTCACCCAGCTAGAGAATCCTTGCTGGGCCAGGTGGCAGCACCAAAAGTGCTGCCAACACCCCCTAGGCTGACTGGTCAGGGTCAGCAGCAGGATTTGAGAGAAATGGGTGACAGAAGGACATGGGGCATGCTGGGGAGGACAGCAAGGTGAGGGCAGCCCAGGTGGGACTGGTGTGGCTGGAATGACCCTCTGCAGCCGTATTCCCCTCCCAAGGTTTGCCCTTCCTCCCCCCAGGGCCTGGGAAGGGGACACTCCCTCTGGCTCAGGTCCCTCCAGCATTCCAGACACGCCTCTTGGGAGCTGGGGACAAAGAAGGGATAGAAACCTAAAATGGTATTGCCTTCTCCTGCCCTCACCTCCGTAGGCAGATTCTTGGCTGTGTGACCCTGTGTTTGCCACCCGCCCTCTCTGGACCATGATCTCATCTGTGAAGGCTGGAGAGCAAAAGCTGGCTTAGCTTCTAAAAACCACAATTCGCCTGCCACACCCAGGGATCCTCTGGCTCCCATGGGGTTCGCTCAGAGGAGGGATTGGGTAGGGGATGCCTTCCCTTGTATTGCATGAAGTTTCCCTTGATGAAACTTGAGGAGGGTATGGTAAGGAAGAAGCAAATGAGAAAAGCTTCCTGTTCTCAGGTGTGCCGAGCCCGTTGCTTTTCTGGGCAAGTCAGAGCGCCAGAGTCAGTCTTCCAACCCCCTGCCTTACTGGGCACAGAGGTGCCTCTGTAGAAGTGAAGAAATGACTGAAGAAATGAAGCAGAAGGGGAGATGAGCGTGAACGCAACTGCGGGTCTTGGCACTTAAGACAGCTGACTAGAAGTTGCTGGAAGAGTGAGGCAGAGCAGGGATGGCTTCCCGGAGGAAGAGGCGTTAAAGCAGATCATGAGGACTTTAATGAGCAAAGATGTGAGTTGGGACTTTGGAGCAAAGTCTGAAGACACAAAAACACAGAAACACATAAAGTAGGCTGAGGTGGATGGAGCCATGTGAGAGGAGGGGTAGGCTCCTGACCCTACCTGGAGGTCCTGAACGCCAGATGGAGCATTGTGGATGGTCTCCAGATGGGCACTTTCAGCAGAGGTTTTGAAGAGATCCCTCTGGTTGCTTTGTGGACTGACTGGGGCAGGCCTGGAGGCAGGGAGGCTGCCAGGGGGGCTGTGGCCAAGGTCTGGGTGGAGGTTATGGAGCCTGAATAGCTGCAGGTTGTGGAGGACAATACAGGTTCCCAGTCTGATGGGTCTCCTCCAGGAACAGGGAACTCACCACCTCCTGGGCAGCAGTTCTCCCCATTGGGTAGCTCTGCAGCAAGATCTTCCCTGCATAGGGCTCAAGCCTTTCTGGGGTGATGTGTGGGTACAGGGATTGGGAAGAAGATTCCATTCATTATGCTGGGGGTACCCATGAGGACGGAAACTTGGGGGAAAGTTTGGGACCACTGAGTTCAAACTGAGAGCCTTGGTGAAGAGGCTCTCTAACCTCTCTGTATGACCCCCAGGGTAACCTGACCAGATCAGACACTCAGCCGGGCACCCTGGGTCAGTGTGGGCATGCGGAAGCTCCTTAACTGGCCCCAGAAAAGCAGCAGAGCAAGCAGAAAGATATTTGCACAACTGGAGGTTTTAGGCACATATTTATTTTATTTTTTTTAATATAAAAGTAAAAGAGTACATTGTTGAGTAGAGGATTAAAGGAGTGACGACCCTTTCTAAAGTGGGGTCTCCCATCCCGGATCCCTAAGACTGTAACATCTGCTACATACATTAAAAACAAAACAAAACAAAAGCAAACATGAAACTTATGACCTGACTTCACTCCACCCTTCATGCCTGCATTATGACAGAAACACGTCCCACTGCTCCTACTTATGTATGTACATCCAGAGCTCCAAACCTAAGCTGTGGCCCCCTCCTCCCAGCCCTACCCACATCCACCCTACTTCCCAAAAGCCTGTAGAAGCCCCCACTTAGAAAAAAAGGCAGACATACACATACACAGAAACACATATCTATCTGCAGCTCCTCCATGTGAAGCCCCTGAAACATACACACCCTGGAACTTTCCTCTCCTTATGCACAGATGGACAGGCTGCCTTCCCCTGTCTCTGGGCTCCCCCAATAGCCAGAATCCCTTCCGACTGGTCCCTTGCCCTGAATATCTGGGAACCCCCCCCACACACACACACCCCTGCACACACATGCACACACATGCACACACATGCACACACACACATACCTGCTGCCCATTCTCTTCCCTTGGGAGACAAAAGGATGTATTGACCCAAATTCCGGTTCCACCCCAGCTTAGGGGCAGTGGCCTAAGGTGCTATTTGGGCAAGGTCCAGTGGAAATCCTGAAGGGGCTGTCTCGTGGGGTGAGGGTAGATAGGGAGCTCCTTAGCCTGAAAGGGTGGATCGTGAAGGGGGCTTCTTGGGAGTGGCCCTTGGACAGTCAGTGGATGCTCAAGGCCAGGGCAGCGGAGTGGGGAGATGGCCCCTGCCCACTCAGATCTGCTCCTTGTGCTTCACATGGGCCAGCTTCACATTCTCTTCCTCGTTGGAGGGTGGGGGCTGCTCCAGGTGGCAGCCGATCATCAGCTGGTACACGAAGACACCCGCAATGGAGCCCAGGAGTGGGGACACGATGGGCACCCACCACCAATGCTGGCCGGTCCTGGGGGGACAGACACTCATAGTCAGGGACATGGGGGGCAGGGCAGAGGAGAGGCAGGCTGGGGTGAGCTGGGTGGGGGCTGTACTCACGTGAAGACTGCAGAGCCCCAGCCCGCAAGGGCTGTAAAAAGGCGGGGGCCAAAGTCCCGGGCAGGGTTGACGGCATAGCCGGAGTTGAAGCCCATGGAGGTGCCAATGACCAGGACCACCAGGCCCACGGTGAAGGCCTCCAGGCCTCGGGGGACGGGGTTGTTGTAGGGGTCAACAATGGCCAGCACACACACGATAAGGGAGGCTGTGCCTATGAACTGGGGAGTGGGGAGAACAGGGTGAGCTGCAGCTCCCTCCCTTTCTCTGACCCCTCCTTCCATCCCCCGTCTTCCCTCTAGCTCTTAAACTCTTGTCAGCGCCCGCCCATGCTCTTCTCCTGAAAGCAATGGTGCTAGAATGTCTGCGTGACAAGAACCCGCTGGAGAGCCGCATGTTTTGTAAGTACTTGCCACCATGTTCTGATGCGGGTTACCCCACAGATTGGAGAAACCCTGCTACAGTCGAGGAGTCCTGTCCCCCAACCAGCCCATGAGCTACCAAGGCAACTCGGTCCCCTCCCTGCGTTCCCCTCACACGTCCCCAGCCCATACCTGGTCAAAGAAGCCATTGATCATATCCAAGTGTCCAGAGGGGTAGGTAGCAAAGATGCCGGCTGTGCCATTGGGGCCCGAAACAAAAAGCTGGTTGTCGGCGAAGTGCCAGATTGCATCTGGTGACAGATTAGACACACAGTGAGTCGGGGGAGAGGCCTGAGCCCAGACTTCCCTCTCAGGTGTGCCCTCCCCACCCTCCCATGAGTTATGGGTAAGTAGCAATACTGCTGTATTGCAGCAGGCAGAGGGGGTGGCGTGGGGTGGGGTGGAGGGCCTGAGACTCTGTTATTGCCCAACTTGTTTCTTTCCCTTCGTGCCCCCTACCTTGACCCTGTGCGTGAATGAGTGAGTCATGAGCCCGGGGCCTGGGCAGGTCCTAGCCGTCTGTCATCAAAAGGCCTGGTGCCAGCAGGTCCTGAACAGAGGGACGGGGGTAGTGGAGGAGGACAGGGTGGGGAATGCTTACCATAATACAGCCCAAAAACTATTCCAGCACCCAAGAAGGCTCCCAGCGTCTGTGCCAGGGTGTAGATGGGCAGCTTGATCCAGGGCTCACGAGCCAGGAAGCACATGGCAAAGGTCACGGCAGGGTTCAGGTGGGCCCCTGGGCAGAGGGGACAAGGGACCTATTAGCTGCAGCCTGCCACAGTCGGCAGGCTAGGGTCCCCTGAGAAGGGGTGCAGAGAGGGGTTTCTTGCACAGGATGGCGGTTGGTCTATGTAACAGGTCAGCTGATAATCTCTGATTCCAAGGTGAGAGTCGAAAGTTCTAAGTGTCAAGTTTCTTCTCCACCCTCCTTTCCCAAGGGGCCAAAGCAGAGGCCACAGCTGTGACCTGCCCTTAGGAATGCCAGGACACCTAGTGGGAATGCTATTGAGGGCCAAGGGCTGGGGGCAGGGTTAAGGCCTTACCAGAGACCTGGCCAGCGATGAGGATGCCCAGAGTGACAGCAAAGCCAAAGGCCAGGTTGATGGTGAGGAAACCACCGTGGGTGCCCCGGCTGAGCACAACCTGGGCCACGGAGCCACAGCCAAACATCTGTCAGGAAGAAGAACAGGCAGGGAGGGTGAGGACCAGCAACTCTCACTCCAGAAGGAAGGGGTGAAGCCAGCAACATGCCCACTCGCCACCACTGGGAGGACTAGAGGCGCTTCCTGGAACCCAGCCCAAACCCCTTCTGCTGTAATTGCACTTTCCAGAAAAAGGACACATGCCTTCCCACCCCACTGTCCCAACTCTAATATGAGAGGGCCCTATGGAAAGGGCTGGAAGCAGGGTCTGCGACTGGGATCCTAGAAGATGACTGAACCATCTTCACTGATTTTCCTTGAATTTCAGCAGGCGTAGGTGTAGGGGAACAGCTTTCACCTTAGCACAAGTTTCTCCACAGCCCTTCAGGCCTGGACCATAAAGGTGGGAAGCCTCTCACTCATCCCCCAGCTGCCCCAAAGAAAAGCTCATGTAGGCCCGGTGCAGTGGCTCACACTGTAATCCCAGCACTTTGGTAGGCCGAGGTGGGTGGATCACCTGAGGTCAGGAGTTTGAGACCAGCCTGGCCAACATAGTGAAACCCCATCTCTACTAAAAGTACAAAAATTAGCCAGGCGTGGTGGCAGGTGCCTGTAATCCCAGCTACTCGGGAGGCTGAGGCAGGAGAATCACTTGAAAATGGGAGGCAGATGTTGCAGTGAGCCAAGATTGCGCCACTGCACTTCAGCCTGGGCGACAGAGCGGGACTCCATCTCAAAAAAAAAAAAAAAAGAGTTGAAAAGAAAAGCTCATGTGGTGGTGGTAGTGGTGGCAATGGGCGGCATAAATAAATAGGGAGGAGACCAGAAGTGAGGTTGAATCCACTTCTCCTGAGTCCAGGATGCCAGAGCCCCAGCCTTCACCATGTCCCCCTCAACAACCTCCCCTTCCTTTACCTGTCCCTGTCCCAGCGTCTCCTCTCTCCACCCATGACCTCTCTGCTCTCAGGGGTCCAGATTCCCCACTCAGATTTGGAGGTCCTACAGACAGGGATCTGTGTGGCTCCTCTCACTATCCCCAGCCCGGGACCCAGGGCTGTAGAAATGGGGAGATCGGTTCTAAACTTTCTGCCAAAAATGGGGGAACTAAAAGAGACTAAGAGCCCTGGTGTTCTACAAATATAGAACATACTGGAGCCAGCTGTGGTGGCTCACACCTGTAATCCCAGCACTTTGGAGGCTGAGATGGGAGGATCTTGAACCCAGGAGTTTGAGAACAGCCTGGGCAACATAGTGAGACTTTGTCTCTATTTAAAAAAGAAAAAGAACGTACTATGTCTGTTCCCCTTGTTCAAGCCTGAAAATACTTCTGCAGCAGCTGTAAAGCATTGTTGCCCTGAGCCCCCTGAGTGTCCCTCAAAGCTGCTCCAATGCCTTGCCCTGGTCTCCTCTCCCACCTGCCCATAACTAAAGGTTTTATGCCCACAGAGCAGGCAGTTTCCAGGACCTGTGCTACAGACCTTGTTTATTCTGACGGGTCAGTGCCTGTTGTACTGGATAGTTAAGCATTTTGATTATCATCCCAGAAAGACCAAGAGATAACGGAGAAGCCAGCGGCAATGACATGGGGCAAAGGTGTGCAGGCAGGTGAGAGCAAAGATCAGAGATTGCAGGTGTATGTGTGAGGAGGGGTGGTGGGAGACAGGCACGTGAGGGTCTGAGGCGCCCTGCCCTGCTTGGGAGGCCCTGGCAGCAGCTCCTTGCCTGCCAAAGGCTCAGACCTGGCTCCATCCCAGGACGCCTTGGAGGGAGGAGCTGTCAGAGCCAGTTCCACCACCTTGGGGCTAATCTTCCTCTTCCTCCCCCAACCCCTGCCCTGAGTTCTCGGCCAGCACCGCCCCCTGCCCTCACACCAGGTATCTCAGAGAAAGGGGCTTTCCTCACCCCAAAGCCAACCCTGATTCTGCCACTGCAGGCCTAGGCTCCCAACACGCAGGTAGGCAGGCAGGCACTCACCCACTACAAAGGGATCCCCAGGCCTGCCCCTCCAGTTCATGCAGTCCTTGAAGTTCTGCTTCTCACTGATATCCAATACCTCACATCCATCTGAGTCTGCAACCCTTCCCCTAAAATTTAACACTCTTCTTTTGTGGTCTGGGATAAGCCTGATGATCCTGGGGCTCAGTGGGAGGACTAACGGCTCCTTTGTGAGAGAGTGAACTGAGACTTGGGAGGGAATGAGGAGGCCCCTCTAGGAAAATAGAAGACATCATCCTCCCCTAGCCTGGCTGCTCTAAAACAGGTGGCTGGACTCAGGACTCCGATAGGAGTGAGGGCTCCGAGGCAGGAGAGTGATAAAGGCCACCTCCTATTGCCTTCTTGGCACAGGAGAGAGGGGCTAGGGCTGGCTGATAGGACGACTAATCTTATGGGAGGCTGTGGATAAAATGCCCCCTGTGGCTTCCCCACTTCCTATTCTTGGAAGCCAGAAGTGGGTTTCAGCCCTCCTCTGCCCATAGATCCTGATCCTCAACCATTTGGGGATCCCTACTTGCCCTTAGTTAGGCTTCCTAGTCCACAGTGGGCCAGCTGGTCTGTACTACCCAGGGCTGGGGCAGGAACGGAGTAACCCACTCACTGCAATGTAGCAACTGAACACAGAGGAAAACAGGTGTAACCACATGAGCGGCTGAAAAATCAGAGTAACTGGGACAGGAAATAGAACATAACTGGTGGGTCTGCCAGACCTAAGAAGTGCAAACAGAGTCACTCAGAACAAAACCAGGGTGAAACTGGTGTGACCAAGGAGTAACTAGGACTGAGGAGTAACTCAGGCAGGGAAATGCTCACTCAGAGAACCCACAGAGTAACCAAGAGGCCAGGGAGTAACCAGAATGCTTGTCGTCTTCTGCACAGACGCTGACAGCATCTGTCTGGATAACAGACAGGGCCTGGGAGTCGCTGAGCACCAGGTGAGCAACTTTAGACACGCGTCCTCTGTGCCTGGGCCTAGCTTCCTCCCACCCTTCTACCGTCAGAATCTGCCTCCCTTCCCACTTCGCTGTTCGCAGCCCATGTGGCCTGCACCCTCTGCCCCCACTCGTGCAAACTGTCCTCACTCACTTCAACCTTTGGACTTTTTGAGGCTTAATTATTCATTAGAGGCCAGACACCCAGGACCCAAATAACCTAATAATGGCTCATTTGCCTCCGCCCCCTCCCCTACATCTGGGGGCTGGGATTCTGGGAATCTGGAGGGGTGTGGGAGGCAGGGGAAGTGGCTGGCTGTCCCAGACTGCAAGCGTGACCGCTGCCCCCAGCCTGTTGGCTGAGTCACTTGTGGGAGGGTAAACGATCGGCACTATCACTGGGGAGTAACAGCTGTCATTCTGGCAAGAGTCGGAGCTGTCAGAGAGGGGGTTAGAACCGTGGGGAAGAGGACTTTGGAAGTCAGCTTGATCCTCCGCGGTTAAGCGTGGGGGTCACAGCTGGGGAGGTGGGTCCAGGCTACCTTGGAAAACACAGCCCCTTCGGGGAAGTGAGAGTTTGGGGAGTGCAAGGGCTGGAGAGAGAAGGGCTTCCCCGGCTCCCTCCACTCACCACCAGGATGAGGGTCCCCAGGCACTCGGCCAGCGCCTGTCGGAGCAGCCGGTAGCGGATGTGGAGCATCTCCCCGCAGCGGGACACCAGCTCCTTCTGTCGACCCATGGCGGGGCAGGCGGCGGCGCTGTCGGGCGGGCAGGGGTGGCGGGAGGCGGTGGCGCAGCGAGCAGCGGCCTCCAGCGCTGGTGGCTCCCTTTATAGGAGCGCTGGAGACACGGGCCCCGCCCGCCCTGCAGCCCCGCCCTGCAGTCCCGGAGCGCCGAGGAGTGCGCGCCCCCTCGCCCCCGCCCCACCTCGGCTGGGAGGCTGGTGCGGACGCCGGGTGGAGGGAGCTGCGGGCATGGAGTGTGAGGAGCTTTGAGGGACGGGTGGCCTTCGGAGGGCGCTTAAGGGAGGGGACGTCAAGGGGGCTGAGAGGCTTAGGCAGATCTGAGAGCCAATGGTGGGATTATAGGCAGGGTTCAGGGCCATGGCTGGAGAGGATGCAGCTGTCATAGAGACCACCTGCGCCCTGTGATCACCCCACTTCCTTGCGGGCAGGAGGAGACCTGTCAGAAAGAAACTGGCCGCATCTCTCCAGGATGACTGGACCCAACAGATCCTCAGTTCGAGGCAGGAGGAGGAGGCTGCGAGCCCCAAGTGAGAAGCAACACTGTCTCTTCTGTCAGGACAGATAAGGCACCGACCCTTCAAGGGGACAGCTAGTGTCAGAGGGGCAGCAGTCCAGACTCAGGTGGGCACACAGACACACGTGCTGAGTTCCAACCAGACTTCATGGGCCCTTCTCCCTGTGCTATGAGCACGTCGTGTGTCGCATGTCCTGGCCAGCTATGTCCACAGCTGTGTCTACACATGGCGGATGTCCTGTGTGCCTAATTGTACGGCTGGGCATTCCTCGTGGCTGTGCACATGCCTGTTGAACATGGCTAGGTGACCTAGCTTGTCACACGTGTACCTGCGTGCATTGCTCACATGGCTCCAGAGGCTGAGCTGCAGTTGCCCCGACATGCCACATGCCACATGTTTGCCAGCAGGCTGAGTCCCAGCTGTTTTTAACCCTCTCCTCTCCCATCTGACTTACCCCCAGCCAAGGAAGAGTCTGTCTCTTTTTTTTTTTTAGACGGAGTCTCTCTCTGTCGCCTAGGTGGAGTGCAATGGCGTGATCTCGGCTCCCTGCAACCTCCACCTCCCAGGTTCAAGTGATTCTCCTGCTTCAGCCTCCCGATTAGCTGGGATTACAGGTGCACACCACCATGCCCAGCTAATTTTTGTTTTTTTAGTGGAGATGGGGATTCACCATGTTGACCAGGCTGATTTCGAACTCCTGACCACAAGTTATCCACCCGCCTCAGCCTCCCAAAGTGCTGGGATTACAGGCGTGAGCCACTGAGCCCAGCAAGTCTGCCTCTTTAAGCAAACTTAATTATGGGGGAGTCAGCCCTATCTGAGGGGGATCATGGGACAACCTTGCCCTCTCTCTCTTTTTAAAGAGTAGGGTCTTGCTCCATCACCCAGGCTGTGGTGCAATCACAGCTCACTGTAGCCTCGAACTCCTGGGCCCAAGTGATCCTCCCACCTCAGCCTCCAGAATGGATGGGACTATAGGGACTATGTGCCACCATGACACTCAGCTAATTTTTAAAAATCTGTTGTAAAAATGAGGTCTTGCTATGTTGCCCAGGTTAGTCTCAAACTCCTGGCTTTAAACGATCCTCCCACCTCGGCCTCCCGAAGTGCAACCTTGCCCTCTATGCTGCTTTTAATAACAAGGAAACATCTGGTGGCCTGGGAGCAAACAACATGCCCTTAGGCTGAGCTTCTATGGCAGCATTGCCAGAGGAGATCAAAGAAATCATTTTCCAGAGGGACTTAATCCAGGTGGGCTAATGACCCTGAGGACTTGTCCCTTGAGGGACGAATATGAGAAATAAGGGCCCCCGGCTGGGCGTGGTGGCTCACGCCTATAATCCCAGCACTTTGGGAGGCCGAGGCGGGCAGATCACCTGAGGTCAGGAGTTCAAGACCACACTGACCAACATGGTGAAACCCTGTCTCTACTAAAAATACCAAAAATTAGCCGGGCGTGATGGCGGGTGCCTGTAATCTCAGCTGTTCGGGAGGCTGAGGCAGGAGAATCACTTGAACCCAGGAGGCGGAAGTTGCAGTGACCTGAGATCATGCCATTGCACTCCAGCCTGGGCAACAAGAGCCAAACTCCATCTCAAAAAAAAAAAAAAAAAAAAGGGCTCCCACGGTTCATTGAGAAGCGAGCAGGGCTAGTGCAGAGGTTCTTCTCCCAGAGGGACCAAAAGAGAGAAGGGTTAGTCCTGTCGTCCTTGATCAGAAATGTGATCAGCACCAAGAAAGCCCCAGGGGCCACTGGGACCTACAGTCAAACTATGTTAGGTGACAGGACCATTGACATTTCAGGACAGATAGGCATGGACCCTTCAAGTGGACAGGTTGTGTCAGGAGAGGTAGCAGAAGAAGCTAAACAAGCTCTTAAAAACATGGATGATGACTCACTCCAGCCTCTAGCTCATGGGATCAAACAATCCTCCCACCTCAGCCTCTCAAATAGCTGGGACTACAGGCATGCATCACGATGCCCGGCTAATTTTTGTATTGTTTGTAGAGAAGGGGTTTCGCCATGTTGGCCAGGCTGGTCTGGAACTCCCGAGCTCAAGCAATTTGCCCACCTTGGCCTCCTAGAGTGCTTGGATTGTAGGATTATGAGTATTGCTAAACCCATCTCTTTGGGCATCAACCACCTCTGCCACATGCCTGTAATCCCAGCTACTCGGGAGGCTGAGACAGGAGGATCACTTGAACCCAGGAGGCAGAGGTTGCAGTGAGCCAAGATCACCCCACCTGGGTTCAAGCGATTCTCCTGCTTCAGCTTCCCGAGTAGCTGGGATTACAGGCATGCACCACCATGTCCAGCCAATTTTTTTGTTTTTTGTTTTTTGTTTTTTTTAGTAGAGACGGGGTTTCACCACGTTGGCCAGGCTGGTCTCGAACTCCTGACCTCAGGTGATCCACCCGTCTCGGCCTCCCAAAGTGCTGGGATTACAGGCATGATTCACCGTACCTGGCCTAGATAGGCATGTTAAAAAAGAAAAGAAAAGAAAGGAAATAAGGGCTCCCAGTCCCAGAGGTGGTTCATGCCCAAAGAGATGGGTTTAGCATACACATGAAGTAGATTCACATACATGCAGGTGCTTGCGCATACACACACACAAACACACAGACACACACACACACCCTGTGGTTTGCAGTCACACACTTGCCTATAGACACTGAGCTCTGCTCCCATGATCAGGGATCCCATTCACATGAGAGCCTCGCCATGGGCTCACACATATATAGAACCCCCACATGAGGACTCTAATGACCCTTGACCCAGAAAGATGCACCCTACCCTCCAGGCCTCTATAGGCTGGGAGGCCCCGTGGTGAATCAGGGAGCCATCACTGAGTACCTGCCCTCTGGCCCCACTGCCAGCCTGTGACTCAAGACAGAACCATAGACTCCTGGTGCCAGGGCCCAGATCACAGGCTATGGGAGTGGTAGAGCACCCCTGCCATGCTGCCCCCTTTTCCTCCCACCCTATAATATGCATCCAGCCCATCCCTGCCTCAAGTGGAGCTGCAAAGGCAGCACAGGGCAGAAACTGGCAAGGGACTCCTCAACACCGAAAGAAAATAGGGAAACCCAGCCCACAACACCCCATTGTCACCCTGTCCCATCCTGGGTCTGCTGGCATCCAAATCTAGCCTGGGAACCAGAGCAGGGGAGAAAAACAGGGGAAGCTCTTTCACCAGCAGACACTACACACACTTCTATTTTTTATTTCTTTTCCTCTTCCCTTATAAAAGCAACCTGGAGGCCGGGCATGGTGGCTCGCGCCTACAATCTCAGCTCTTTGGGAGGCTGAGGTGGGCGGATCACAAGGTCAGCAGATCGAGACCATCCTGGCCAATAAGGTGAAACCCCATCTCTACTAAAAATAAAATAAAAAAAAATTAGCTGGGTGTGGTGGTGGGCGCCTGTAGTCCCAGCTACTCGGGAGGCTGAGGCAGGAGAATGGCATGAACCTGGGAGGCAGAGCTTGCAGTGAGCCAAGATGGCGCCACTGCACTCTTGCCTGGGCAACAGAGCGAGACTCCATCACAAAAAAAAAAAAAAAAAAAAAAAAAAGGAACCTGGCCTGGAGCCGGGCACAGTGGCTCATGCCTGTAATCCCAGAATTTTGGGAGGCCAAGCCAGGCAGATCATTTTAGCTCAGGAGTTCAAGACCAGCCTGGCCAACATGGTAAAACCCTGTCTCCACTAAAAACACAAAAATTAGGCCGGGTACGATGGCTTGCTCCTATAATCCCAGCACTTTGGGAGGCCAAGGCAGATGGATCACCTGAGGTCAGGAGTTCGAGACCAGCCTGGCCAACATGGATAAATCCCATCTCTACTAAAAATACAAAAATTAGCCAGGTGTGGTGGTGTGCGCCTGTAGTCCCAGCTACTTGGGAGGCTGAGGCAGGAGAATCGCTTGAACTCGGGAGGCAGAGCTTGCAGTGAGTCGAGATCGTGCCATTGCACTCCAGCCTGGGCAACAAGAGCGAAATTCTATCCCCTCGCCAAAAAAAAATTAGCCGGGCATGGTGGTAGGCACCTGTAATCCCAGCTACTCGGGAGGCTGAGGCCAGAGAATCGCTTGAGCCCAGGAGGCTGAGGTTGCAGTGAGCAGAGATCGCACCACTGCACTCCAGCCTGGGCGACAGAGACAGACTCCGTCTCAAAAAGCAAATAAACAAAAAAGCAACCTGCACACACATCTGTCTGCATTCACCTCACATGGGTTTTCTCGTGGGCTGCACCAGGAAGTAGCTAGTTACACACACAATTATGGATTTGTCTGTCTTATATACGTTGAGCAGCATTTATTTATACATATGCAGCTACCTGTACTCACCCATGTATGCATGCATGTATGTGTCTATCTATAATCCTGGACTGCAGCTCACCATAGAGTATCTTTGCAACCCCCTCCAGTCAATGCAGCTGCATGCCAAGGCACATGGTTTAGCTAGCAGAACAAGGGCTGGGTCTCAATGTCCTTGTTCCCCACCCCCTCCATCAGGGCCCAACCTTCAGGACCATGACTCCGTGAACTCTCACCAAACTCATTCATGTCCATACCTCATGTGTACACGCATGTTCATACATATACGTACACATACACATTGGAGTGGCTAGAGTTGGAACTGAGAAGACATGGGTAGATCTTCGTGCTTCTTCTTAATGGATGTGAGAGGACTCTGGCTGGAGGAAGGGGAAGGATGCAGTACTTTCCATGGGCCCCTTATTCCTGTCAGCCCTCCTTGGGTCACCTGGGACAGAAAGGGGTCAGGATCTGAGGATGCCTGTGCAGAAGCACCGGACTGGCCTGACTCGGGGGGGCAGAAGCCCACTGCTCCATTTTGCGACCCTGGGAGCAGCATTCCCTTTGTAGTCAATGTGGTTGGCGCCCCCTAGAGCCAAAGGCGGAAGAAAGCATGGCTCCACAGAGAAGAGACTGAGCTTGGTGAGGCCCCAGCCCTCTGAGTCACAGCTTGCCCAGGGTCCTCAGGGCTTCCGCTTGTGCTTTGGGAAGGAGAGCCAGGGCTGAGTGCAGGCTGGGAGCCAGCCCTCCTGGGTGCTCTGGGAGGAGGCTGATGAGGAGGTTCCCCCTCCTCCCAGGGCATCTTGAGCAAGGCCTGTGTCTCACCTGGGTGGGAGGAGCTGAGCCAGGGAAGGGGCCTGAACATCCCCATCCACCCCGTGGGAGCCCATGACTTCTTTAAGGTCAGAGCTGGAGGAGTGGGTTCCCAGGCAAGGGAAGGGCTAAGGATGCAAGTCTCAGCCTGCTGGACCAGAGGGGCTGGCTGGGGCCCTTTTAAGGGGTGGGAGTGCCACACCTTTCATTTCCTGACCCCAAACTCTTTCTGCTTGAATGGGAGCAGCCCGAACCAGCAAAGAAAGAGACCTGGGCCTTCCTTGTTGTTAGTGAGTCAGAGGTGGGGGTGGAGACATAGGAAGCTACTCACTCTAGAGTACCCCCAAACCCCTAATCTCTTCCAGAGCATTGGAGTGGGGTGGGGGAGGGGCAGAGCAAAGCAGACATGCAGACATATTCTAGTTTAGGAAGCACTTCCTCCCACTTTGCAAAACAGCTCCCAGAAATGAGTGTATTTTCCCCATTTCACAGATGACAAAACTGAGATTTAGAGAGAAGTCACCTGCTGAGGTCACTCAGCCACTGAGTGCTGATCCGGGATTCAAACCCCATAGGGATGGGGAGGACAGGTAAACAGGGCAGAAAGACTAGGGAGCCACAGGTCTGAGGCACAGGGAGAGCAGGGACCCCGGGCACAGAACCCCATTGAGTCCCTCCATGCTCAACCCTGCTTTCCAGAGTGTGCTCCCACTCTTAGGCCACTGTTGAAAACTGTTCCTGCATCTAGGCTTCAAGGGTGGGGAGCTGGCTGTGGACTGGAATCAGGAGCAGAGAGCTGAGATGAATTGCCCTATTAAGAGTGTCCCCAGACTCCTCCTCCTGCGCCAACGCAGCTACTTCCATCTTTAAATGGGTGACCTGGGGGAGAGCCCATGAATACAAACTCCGCCAGCCTTGGGCACCTTCAGCTGGATGTCCAGCTGGGCCTTGAGAAGAATCAACCTTTGACCCATACCCTGGGGACTCTGGGTTCACAGCCTGGTGTCCCTGACCTGCCCTCAGCAGCCTTTGAGGGTTTAGGACAGCTAAGGGTCATGTTGAGACAGCAGAGCGATAGGATGGAGGCTTAGACCTAGAGGCTAAGAGTGCAGAGTCCTAGGGACTAGGCTGATGGGGACAAAACTCTCTTGCACACCCAGAATCTGAGCTCCAGGCTTGGCTTGGCCACTGAACAGTAAGGTCACCTAGATGGCTCTCTTCTCCCACCCCCACAGAGTCTCTCTCAGTGTCTTCATCTGTCACCTGGAGGTTTCAGTTGAAGGGGGCCCCCACCTCCCGGTGGGGCCCTTGTAAGAATCAAAGAAGATTGTATGTTTCCGGCTTTGAAAACTGTACTAGGCTGGGCGTGGTCGCTCACACCTGTAATCCCAGCACTCTGGGAGGCCAAGGCGGGCAGATCACGAGGTCAAGAGTTCAAGACCAGCCTGACCAACATAGTGAAACCCCGTCTCTACTAAAAATACAAAAATTAGCTGGGCGTAGTGGCACACGCCTGTAATCCCAGCTACTTGGGAGGCTCATGTGTGCATCTCCTTGTGTGCCCCTGTCTGGGCCAGGCTGTGGGTCTGGGTCACGTGTTTATAAAAACCAGAGATAGGAGATGCGCATCTGTTGCGAGGTCTAGAGATAAACTGCTGGGCCTGCCCCATGCCAGCCTCAGGGGGAAGGGAGTTAGTGATATGGAGTTGACACAGACCAGTCATCACTGTGACAGGCCTAGGGGGTCTGGAGGGCTCTGGTTCACACCTCAGGATGCCTGGAGCCCCTAGGTTTTCTGATTTCCTATCTCCATCCTCACTGGCAGGAAAGCTTCTGGAACTAGGAGAGGGTTGCTTAAGAGGATGAGGGGTCAGGACCAGAGATGGAGGAGGAAAAGAAAGCTCACAGGTGGCTGGGCGCAGTGGCTCACGCCTATAATCCCAGCGCTTTGGGAGGCTGAGGCGGGCGGATCATGAGGTCAAGAGATTGAGATGATCCTGGCCAACATGGTGAAACCCCTTCTCTACTAAAAACAAACAAACAAAAATAGCTGGGCGTGGTGGTGCACACCTGTAGTCCCAGCTACTCAGGAGGCTGAGGCTGAGGCAGGAAAATCGCTTCAACCTGGGAGGCAGAGGTTGCAGTGAGCCGAGATTGCACCACTGCACTCCACCCAGACAACAGAGCAAGACTCCGTCTCAAAAAATAAAATAAAATAAAAGGAAAAGAAAAAAGAAATTTCAGCCAGGCGTGGTGGCTCACACCTGTAATTCCAGCACTTTGGGAGGCACTTTGGGAGGTGGGTGGATCACCTGAGGTTGGGAGTTCAAGACCAGCCTGACCAACATGGAGAAACCCCATCTCTACTAAAAATACAAAATTAGCCAGGTGTGGTGGCACACGCCTGTGTTCCCAGCTACTCAGCAGGCTGAGGCCGGAGAGTCACTTGAACCCGGGAGGCGGAAGTTGCCGTGAGCTGAGATCACGCCGTTGCGCTCCAGCCTGGGCAACAAGAGTGAAACTCCATCTTAAAAAAAAAAAAAAAGAAAAAGAAAAGAAAAGAAACAAAGCTCACAGGCTTCCTAGGTAGCCTAAACTGAGGCCCAGCATTAGCCTGGCCCCTGCAGCCAGGAAGGGCACATGGAGCATCCTTTGGGCTGGGACAATCAGAGGGCTTACTAGAGGAAGAAACATTTGGCTGGGGATTTTACGGAGGGTTTTCCAGGTGAGAGACTGCAGGGCCAGACCCTAGCAGGGCTGACTGCCTGCCTAGGCAGGACGAGATCAGCAGCAAGGAGGCGAGGAAAGGACCCAGGTAGTGTGGGAAGGGCCTTGGGTTCCATACTGATGGGCAGAAGCTTACCCAGGGCCAAGAGGTATTTGAACTTAGATATTTGTTAAGCCCTGAGGTTCTAAGGAAGCTGTTATAGGGACTGCTGCAGCTGGAGGTGGAGAGAAGGAAGCCGATAAGGCAGAGCCTTGGCCCCACCTCCTGCTTCAACCGAAACATCTTAACCATTTTACATGAGGGCTCTTTTTTTTTTTTTTTTTGAGACTGAGTTTCGCTCTTGTTGCCCAGGCTGGAGTACAATGGCACGATCTCAGTTCACTGCAACCTCCACCTCCCAGGTTTTCAAGTGATTCTCCTTTTCAAGGCGATTCTCCTGCCTCAGCCTCTCAAGTACCTGGTATTACAGGCATGCACCACCACACCCAGCCAATTTTGTTTTAGTAGAGACGGGGTTTCACCATGTTGGTCAGGCTGGTCTCAAACTCCTGACCTCAGGTGATCCACCTGCTGCGGCCTCCCAAAGTGCTGGGATTACAGGTGTGAGCCACTGCGCCCAGCCTTACATCAGGGTTCTGAACGAGATTACAATTGACAAATGTGACACCACTAAGAACAGTGGCTAATGGCAGCCCTGAAGGTTTTAAGCAGGTAAGTGACATGGTTTCAATCTACCATTTAGAAGGACCCCTCCAGCTGCTGAGTGGAAGATGGGTTGGAAGAGAGAGACAGAGGCTGGAAGCCTGGGAGGGAGGCCATGGAGGAGGAAGCGAGGCCAGATGGCCGGCAATGGCTGTGGGGAGGGAGAAGGGTTTAGGAGGCAGAGTGAGGAGGGCAAGCTGGCAAGCAGCTGAAGAAGTTCAAGGGGGCAGAACTGGGTGGACAGGAACCTCAGGTGGGGACCGAGAGGCCAGTAAGACAATGGTTCTCCAAAAGGCCTGTGGTCTAAGGGCAGGGGGTGCGGGTGAAGGGTGGGGAGGAGGTGGCAGAAGGAGGCTATGCATTTGGCAATGCATTAGGTGATGGTTGTGCATGAGCCCCAGTACACTCTACCCTCTGGCCAGCCCCGTCTGGTGGCTAATTATAGGGGAGCCACTAGCAACCCACCCCAGGTGAGAGGAGTCAGGGGAAGAATCCAGGGGAGGGAACAGGCTGCAGCAGGAGATTCCAAAGTCAGACTTCAAGAATGACTTCCTGGTCTCGAGACTGGGGGTCAGTGAGAACTAGGCTCCAGAGGGACCCCCATAGGTTGGGAGATGGGGGTGGGGGCATTGTGGAGGTTGTGGAGGGAGACTGGGGAGAGGGCAGGATGCCATAATTTTCTTTTTTTTTTTTCTGAGATGGAGTCTTGCTCTGTCACCCAGGCTGGAGTACAGTGATGCAATCTCAGCTCACTGCAACCTCTGCCTCCCGGGTTCAAGCAATTCTCCTGCCTCAGCCTCCTGAGTAGCTGGGATTACAGGCACGTGCCACCACACCCAGCTACTTTTGGTATTTTTAGTAGAGACGGGGTTTCACCATATTGGCCAGGCTGGTCTCGATCTCCTGACCTCATGATCTGCCCGCCTCGGCCTCCCTAAGTGCTGGGATTACAGGCGTGAGCCACCGTGCCTGGCCATAACTATCCTCTTCATCCAAACCGTTGGTCATCAAGTGGAACTGGGGCTCAGTCTGAGTGCTTCCTTGCCCCTCCAGACAGGGCCCAACCTTGGCCTCTTCAGTCCTGGGGAGACCCAAGCCCTGACCTGTGGAAGTTTCCAATCTGGGAGAATAGAGGAGAGCTGGGTCCTGCTTTTGAGCTCCCAGGCCAGGGAACAGAGGAGATTTAGGCTTGAGCTGAGGTTGACCAGAATGCTCATACTCCCTCTCTCCCTGCACAACCCCACTCTCCATATCCTTCACCCTGCTCCTCTGGGCTGCTGATAAAAGCTGCATTCAAAAGCCTTGGGCAGGCCGGGCACAGTGGCTCATGCCTGTAATCCCAGCACTTTGGGAAGCTGAGGTGTGTGGATCACCTGAGGTCAGGAGTTCCAAGACCGGCCTAGGCAACATGGTGAAACCGCCCCCCACCCTGTCTCTACAAAACTACAAAAATTAGCCAGGCATGATGGCGAGTGTCTGTAATCCCAGCTACTTGGGAGACTGAGACAGGGGAATCGCTTGAACCTGGGAGGCGGAGGTTACAGTGAGCCGAGATCGGGCCACTGCACTCCAGCCTGGGCGTCTCAAATAAAAAAAAAAATAATAATAATAAATAAATAAAAGGCTTGGGAAGAAGGAGAAGGGGTTAGGCTGGCAAGTGGCCCAAAACAGGTGAGGCTCCTGGCTTTTCCCTACTCCCCTGCCCCACTGGAGAGGTCTGCAGCTCAGGCGTTTCTAGTCCTTTCTTCCTCCACACTCCACCCCTTGGCCCCAGGAAAGCCAAGTTCAAGCAGGTGGCTTGCCTGGAGCCAGGACACCTAGATTCTCAGTAGCTGTACCCCACAAGTTCCTGTGTGACCCTAGACAAGTTCCTACACATCTTGGCCTGATATAAACCAGAAAATTATACTCCCCATTCATTTCTGAAGTAGAAGAGGAAGTCTCCCTCTGGTTTGAAACACCCTTCTTCTTGGTCCTCCTTGGTTCCCTGGGGCAGTGTGAGATGCCTCCTCCTTCTCCCTCTCAGGGGTAGATGAGCAGATTGGCCTTTCCTGTGAAGGGTACGGGTGACTCACGTGCCCCAGGCTTCCCCTCGCCCTTATCACTCACCTGGATTAATCTGTGACTCATAAAGCAAGTACCGGATGTTGGGGGGGTTACATGTAAACTTGGGGGAGGGGGGCTGGCTAGCCTAAATCTGACTTAATAGGTCAGGGACTGAGCAGCCCTGAGGATTTCATTGATATAACATGCCATATGGACCCCTTAGGCTTGGGGTTCTTGCTTTCCTCCCCCAAAGTATGGAGCTGGGCAGAGGAAAATAGGGTCTTCAGCTAACAGGATTCGGGGGTAGAGGAGGTTGTCAGATGCCATAGCCAGAAAGGAGGGCCCTTGTTGAGTTCACCAAATGAGGCTTAGGTCAGTCAGAACACGGGAAACTCTGTATCCTAGCACTTTGGGAGGCCAAGATGGGAGGATCACTTGAGCCCAGGAATTTGAGACCAGCCTGGGCAACATAGTGAGACCCCCAGTCTCTTTAAAAAAAAAACAAAACAAAAAAAACTGGGAAAAGTGAAACCCCAAGAAGAAAGCTTCATTTAAAGCCAGGGGAAGAAATCCAGGGTCCCTGCCTCTGACTTGAGAGCTTTTTCTAACCTGCCCTCTAAAAAACAGGGCAGAGTTCCCCTTTTGCAGCAAACCAGAGCTGGAGGTGAATACCGACAGACAGACAGACTAGTGCATACAGAGGCGTGCACGTGCACCACACACAGAACAGACAAATCATGCCATACTTAAGATCCACTCTGTCTCTGTCCACCTGTGAAGTTAAAGGCAGAGACCCACCAAGGCAGGCACATCCATGAGGGTGCTTAACCATTATCCTGTGTACACTTGCTCACACATAAGGCTTCCTGCTAGGCTTTTCCCCTTCCCTTCCCCTGGGGTTCTGGTTCCTGACTGCCCATCTCCACCCTCCCCTCCCCTGGCCCCTCAGCTAAAGCCTGAGCACCTCCCTACTCTGGAGCTGGGGCCTCTGTGGCTAGACAAGAGTCATCCTGGGCTGGGGCAAAGGAGCCTAGGGCAGTCATCTTGAACACTAGTTTGCTCACCTGTTTTCCAGAGAAAACCTGAGGAAAACAGGTTGGAGCTGTAACTGTGAGGGACTGAAATTAGGGCCAGGCACAGTGGTTCACGCCTGTAATTCCAACACTTTGGGAAGCTGAGGTGGGTGGATCACCTGAGGTCAGGAGTTCGGGACCAGCCTGGCCAACATGGCGAAACCCCGTCTCTACTAAAAATACAAAAAATCAGCAGGACGTGGTGGCAGGCGCCTATAATCACAGCTACTCGGGAGGCTGAGGCAGGAGAATCGCTTGAACCTGGGAGGCGGAAGTTGCAGTGAGCCAAGACCATGCCATTGCACTCCAGCCTGGGCAAGAGTGAAACTCAGTCTCAAAAAAAAAAAAAGAAAGAAAGAAAGAAATTGGACCCAGGGCTTCTTGCCCAGCCACCTCCCCAGTGGAACTGGAGCAGGGAGAACAGGAAGGTATGGTGCAGCGCCTTAGGGTTCTAAATTCTCAGCCCTCTTTCCTTGCCACACTGGGCAATGGTCAGCTGACAAAGCCATTACCATGCCTATTCTATGGGTTGGAAGACTGAACCCAGCAAAGGTAAGTGATTTGCACAGGGCCACATGAGGTGGCAGGGCCAGGGCTCATTTCCCATTGGGACTGGTAACTGCACCTCTTAGAGCCACCTGCTACAGTCCTGCCTGGGGGCAGATTCCACCCCCTCCCCCATGGGGATAATCAAGAGCTGGGTTTGTGAAGGGCCTGAAGCTACAGACAACTGACCTGGAGATGAAACAGGTGATCTGCCACACTTGCAAAGTTAAAGGCAGAGACCCGCCAAGGCAGGCACATCCATGAGGATGCTTAACCATTATCCTGTGTACACTTGCTCACACATAAGGATTCCTGCTAGGCTTCCAGCAACCCTGGCCCTCCCAGGAGCCCATGGAGTGACTGTGGACAAATAGTCCAAGGGACCAAGGGAGGCAAGAGGAAGAGCCAAGGGTGACCATGGACCACGGGGCTCCACAAGGGATGGGATTACATTTCACTCCTGGAAAATAAAGCCTGGCACGTTGATGCTTGAAGCTCAAGAATGAATAGCAGAGGGAGAGATGTGGACTCCAGCTCACACAGCCAGCCAATTTATTCCCTCCCTATTCTAATTTCAACCCTGGGCTGAGCTGCTCCATGGCAGTGACAGTAGAGGCAAGCAGTGATTCACAAAGACCAACAGTTGAGACAGAACTGGAGGCCAGAGTTCCCACATGCAGCTTCTCATCTTGAGGATGGAGCTTGCTAGCCAGGCATCAAAGTTCCTCACACAACGGGCCCCTGCGCTGAGCCTGTTCTCTCACTCAGAAAATGAAGGTAAATGAAAGTACCTACTCCATACGGCTCGTTATGACTGTACGACAAGTTTCCGCACATAAGATACGGATACCACCACCTAACCCCGCCTGGCACCTATTAAGCCCTCAATAAACGTCAACTCTATAATCTCTTAGGCTTTCTCTTTCACCGTCACCACCCACTTCTTGCAGGCAGATTTCACAAATGGATTCCCTTTACTCTGCAATCTTCCAGTGGGCTTCTCTGCCCCCCATCTGCCTGTGCTGGATGGCCCCTGAGCAAAGCACTGTAATAGGTGCTAGGAAGGACACGAAGAAGTCTATGTTCAAACATGTTCTTGCCCTCAAGGAGTTTACATACAAGAAACCAGGTTAAAATTATGTGAAAGGGGCAGACAGGCCAGGAATACGGGGGAAATTAAGCAATTTAACTTTTTATTTAAAAGAGATGGGGTCTCTCTGTTGCCCAGATTGGTCTAGAACTCCTGAGCTCAAGTGATTCTCCTGACTCCCTAAGTGTTGGGATTACAAGCATAAGCCACCACGCCCAGCTGCAATTTAATTTTAAATCAGAGTTCAAAACAATAGAATTTATGCCACTGTGTGTGCCTGCCAAACGAACTGAACAGACAGTAACTGCTCTAATAGTTCAGAGGAGGGAAAGATCACCTCAGGCTGGGGGCGAGGGATGGGCTTAAGGAGGGGCACTATTTGAGCTGAGTCTGGAAAAACAGCCAGAATTACAGGAAGCAGAGAGGCTACCAGAAAGTGGGTGTAGACCAGACTGAAAGGAGGCAGCATTCTCCTCCTTGGGCCCTGGGAGCTCCTGGGGAGTAAGACTTGAGTCTCCCCCATCTCTGCAACCCCACTGCAGGTACATAGTAGTGGCAGTTTGTGACATGAACGGGCAAACAGCCAGGGCAGATGCAGCTAACGGGTAGCCCCCAGTGCTTTTTGCACCTCTCCAAGATTGGGTGACTACCAGTCCCCTGACCCCTTCACCTACCCAATCCTTTCCTGTCCTCGGTTCTTTTCCACTGTCTCCACCCTGGGAAGTGGCATCAACACAGGAGGGCATTGTGCTCCTTCAATGTGGTCTATTCATACACATATAGCCCCTTTCCACTGCTCAGTGTCGGTGATGTGACTCAGAAGGGCCACATTTTCGCTGGGTCCCATCTAAAGGCCTGACACTGCAGTGAAGGGCATGCTAAGTCTAGGCACAGGTCCTGGCAGCAGGAAGGAGACAGAGCCTCTCCCAGGCACACATCCCCTTCTCTGTTTCTGGAAGAAGACTAAGAAAGGAGTGGGAAATCGCAGGGAGGTCCAGGCCCAGGGCTAATAGGTGGATGGATCTCCTGGGTTCAGTTCCTTCTCTGAGCTGGCTCCCACTCCTCTTCTGGGATGGTGAGGCCCAGGAGACTACATGGGCCACCATGCCCCTGCCCCAATGCTGGAGCATCAGAGAGAAAGTTGGGGCTGGGTTTTGTTGGAGATGATTCAGCATGTTCAGCCAGCAGGCCCTCCATGGAGGATTCATGTCCAAGGAGGGTGGAGGTCATCCTACTGACATCTTGCTCTAGAGGTCCAATGTCCTGCTGTCCGTCTACAGCTTGCTCCAGAGCTGGGATCACACAGTCCACCTCTCACTTCGGGCCTCCACAGTCTGCACCAGGCCTTCACCCAGCACAGCAAAGTCCTCCAGGATTGCTTCAACATTGGGCACCATTACTAGCTCCCCACCTCGAGACATCACCATGCGCCCCTTTGTGCTGGAGGCCTGGGGAAATCAGAGAAGAGATGTGGGTTGAGTGTCACAGCGGCACACCCAGAGACACCAAGCTGGGTACAGAGTGGGGGTGGTGGGGATAGAAACACAAGCCCATACACTCCGCACCTGACACGGGTTTGCCCATAGGACAGACTACACACAGACATGCATGCCCACACAGAACCACGTGCACACACTCAGGAACACAGCTGTCACCAGCCAGCACACCTTGAAGGGCTGCGGCTGGAAGCTGGTGGGCTTCCAGAGGACACCAATCACCTCTCCACCATGCTGGTCATAGAAGAAAAGGGCCAGATCCCCAAAGGCCTCCTAGAAAGGGACAGAACAGAGAAGATTATAGGCAGGCATTTAAGAGCTCCTCCACAGCCTCAGCTTCACCTGGAAGTCCCCTCCCCAGGTCATTCAGCTGTTTAGGACCAACCCTGAGCTGCGTCAGATAGAGCTGAGGAGGATCATAGCCCAGCACGGGCATCAGGGATGAGGGCCCCGGCTGGCTGAGCAGGCCCCGGCAGAAGGAGGCAGCTGGCGAGTCCACAGCCTGGCGGTGCCGCGGGATATGGCGAGGAGACAGGCGAATCAGCACGTCGTAAATGTCCAAGGGCGGCCGGAACACTGTCTAAGGAAGGGGAGAAGGAGGGGTCAGCAGGACCCCCTTGACTGAGGAACTGGACCACAAACCTCTCCACACGCCCACCTTGGTTTCCTCCTTCCATCTGACCACCCTCTATGGGCCCACCTGCCCATTTGAAGACTGAAGCACCAAGACCCACAGAGCAAACAGCTGTTGCATAGCCCGGCAGAAGGAGCACAGGCTAGAAACAGGAGACCCAGATGGAACCCAGGTTCCCCAGGCTCTGCCACCCCAGGCACCACAGCAGCTTCAACACCTCCTCTGTTCAGTCTCACCAAACAAGGGGACCGGGTCTCCTGTGAGATCCCTGAACGCTGAACTTCCAAAGACAGAATCCCCAGAGGCCCTGGAGTCACTGCTGGTCAGAAGCTTACCCTGATGTCCCCAGGTCCCCGGGGATCCATGAGCTGCTTCTCTAACATGGGCAGGGCTTCAGCTGCCAGGACCACAAGCTGCTGCAGGATCTGCGGGGTACAGACACATCAGACTGGAACTGAAGTGGGTCTCTCCCAGGTCAGGCTGGGCCTGCTTTTTCCTTGGGAAGAAAACCACACATTAGGGGGCAGGTATGGGGTTGAACCTGGGCTGAGGGTCCATCCTGTGTCCACACAGAGTTTTTGCGGTCTTGGGGGGTAACAATGACCATGACGGGGAGCTGTGCCCGAGCTGCCAGGAAGCCACTGCGGATCTCCACCTGCTCCTCCACTAGAGACAAGAATGGGTCCTGGGTCAGCCTGCTCCTCCCTGTAAGACACCCTCTACTCCCCCAGGTCCTCCTACGGTGCCCCCAACGGCTGCTCATCACAGGTATTTTTCAACACTCCCCCCCACCAAGTGGCAAAGGTGACGAAAGGGACATCGCATTTGCCTCAACTGGGTGGGGCATTAATCGCCCAACCTCAGCCCAGAGGCAAAATTTTCCACTGCTTGGCACCCCCAGTCTGGTTTCCGGGCCTGCACAAGCTGAGTCTTGCCCCTGGCCCCCTCCCACCATGGGCTTCCACACACCTGGGGAATTAGGAACCTGACACCCTGCTCTCTGCAGAGACCGAGTGCCTCACGTTACAACCAGAAATCACCACTCCCACCCCCACCAAGAGGTCTGAGTATCTGTGCTACACTTCCTAGCTCCGTGCCCTAATACTTCTTACGTGGTATTCAGGATCCCCCTTCTATTCTCCTCTTCCTTCCACAGCCCCCCGCCAGGTAGCTTGCTTACCACCCTATCATTCTGTCTCTGACAATTAAGAGCAAACCATGTCATAATGGTCAGGCTGTTCACCTGGACCTCTTCTTCATGTCAGGCTTAGACATCTGGGGCTGGGGAGGCACAGAGAAAACCTAACACTGCCAGGGAAACCCTTGCCTGCAATCCATAAAGAGCTGTTCTTCCAGCAGTCTGACCCCTGTTCTACCACTTACCAGTGAGCTCATTATTGAGGTTGACAAAGAGGGGGTTGTTCTTCCAATCAAACGTTGATACCAAGAAAAGGAATCGAAGGAAGCCAACCTGGGGGGAACTAAAGGGCTGGAGTAAGCAAAGAATCCAGGGCCCAGCCACATATCCCCAGGCTTCTCTCAGGCTATGGAGCTCAGACCCCCTGGTGTGGATTGGCAGGGCAGGGCATCTTAGAACCCCTTCTGCCACTTGCTCAACCACCCATTCCCATGTAGACTTAGGGTGCAGCACGAAGGATGATGGCTGGCCGCAAGGAAACTTCTCAGCTGGGGAAAAAGTGGAGGGAATCACCTCGGAGGGGTGAAGGGCTCAGGGTGCAGGAAAAGGGCAGCGGCCACCAGATCCAGGCTCTCATCAGCGAAACCCTCACCAAGAAGCTGGGCACGCACCCACCGCTTGGCCAGCCGTGCCACACCAGAGAAGGCTGGGTGCTGCTGCTGCAGTCTGCAGAGAGAAGGGGAGTGTCAGCGAGACTCAGGGCCCCACTGCCACTGTTCATCCAGCCCCTACCCAAGGCCAGCCTCAGTGATAATAGGTTACATATGTAATCTCATATTCTCTTAAGAAATGCACCAAGAAGTTGACCCTAGTGTTATTTCCATTTTACAGATGACAAATATAGGGACCAAGGAGGAAAATCTGACCATAGGGTCACAGTCAGTAAGTGGCAGAGCCAGGATTCCAGAACCTGCCTGACTCCAGAACTCATACCCCTAACTATGATACCATCTGGCCCCTGGAGAGACAGGTGGCTAGGTGAGGAGAATGGGGGCAGGAGGGGGCCTACAGACAGGAAGAAGCTGTGTCAGTGGCCTTACCCGTGCAGGGCACTGGTGAGCAGTGGCAACTGCCTTGTGTCTCTCTCAAGGCGGAGGGAGGCAGCTGTGTCCCTCAGCGAGATCATCCCCTCTGGGCTCTGCACCTCCTTCAGGATCTGGGGCTCCCGCTGATAGGCCACGCGAATCCGAAACACAAATCCATCCTGTTGGAAGAAGGTATGGAAAGAGAAGGATGTGTCAGCCCAGAACCCCGGGAGTACTCTGTGGCCTACAGCCCTATTACCCAGCGTGGTACCCACAGGGGTGTCTTCTTCCACGCCCTGACATCCCTGGTGCCCCCCTTCCCTGGGGACATATCTGCCTGCACCAGCCTAACCTTAAGGACATCCGTGTGCGTGGCAGTGGCACGGCACTGCAGACCATGCTGTTGTGTCAACAGCTCTGCCAGGCGCAGCTGGAAGGCAGCTCGGACCCGCTGCACGGCCTCAGCGTCCTGTGGCCACTGGCCACTGCCCTCCAGGTGACAAACCACTGAGGAAGAAGAGTCAGAGGTCTCATACTGTGGCCTGGAGCTGGAACTATCCCTCCCACTCCCTCCCAAGGGCCCTCTTACCGGTCATGGGCTCCACGTAGGCCGGACAGGGCTTATCGAGCCGGGGCAGCAGTGAGGACCGCTCCCGCAGAGTCTCATAGAAGGAGAAGGCTGGACGGACTGGAGTTGGTGGGAACACCTGTGGAAGAAGAGGGGCTGAGGAATGGGCCTAGGACTGGGAGGGAGTGCCCAGAGTCAGGAGTTGGAAGTGGGGAATACTGGGTGACTGGAGCAGAGGTGGGGCCACTAAGCAGAAAGGTCACCTGCACCGTTGCACCTCACCTCTGTGTAGCGCAGCACTGGGTGAGCTCCCTGAACAGCAGACACGGTCAGTGGGAGACCCTCTAGCCCCCACAGTAGGCGACTGAGGTCGTCGTAGCAACGTACCGCCGCTACCAGGGCCTCCTCACCTGTGCTGGAGGTCTGAGAGGGAGAAGACGGTCAGGAGGCTGGACCCTACAGAAGGCCAGCTTCACCTGGATTCTGCCCCAGCTCAGGCTGCAGCAGAGCCAGCACCGCCGCCTGCTGGACATGCCAGGAAGTGCAAGCTGGCCAAGGCTGAGAGGACTCTCTCCCCGCAGATTGATTACTCTACAATCACTAGCCTTGACCCCAAGACCCTTACCTCTTTCAGGCCTTGGATAAGTGCATCCAGGGGGCCCCCCACATAGTGGACACAGGTTTCTGGGATGTCAGCATGGCTGAAAAAGAGGCAGAGACACAGTGAGAAAATTTGGGGCTATGTTCTCGCTCAACTGCCTGGGCCAGACCCCTGAAAAGGCTCCCCAGCCCACACTGCCTTCTGGAATCCAGATGCCAACACTCACAGTGCCAAGAGGTGGGTGACCACCTGGTGGGGAATAAGGCGCTTCTGGGACATAGAGGCTGCCTCCCAGACCACAGCTTCCCGAATGGCTCCGTCCTGGAAACGCCGAAGCTCCGAGCGGGATCCCCAGAACTGGCGGAATTTAGCAGCCTGAGGAGGCAAGGGTGGTAGTAGAGCTGGGGAAGGAAGGGCTCTGTGGACCCTCCCCAACAAGCTTCAGTCCAGGTGCCATGAGGACGAGCCACCCCATTCCTTCCAGTGTACATGCTGGGGTCCCCCACCTCAGGCTGGTCTGCCTCTGGACCCAGCTCAAGGACGCTGGTCAGTCCCTCAGGCCGGAGAAGGAGTCCCAGGGTCAGGGTCCCAGAGTCTTTGTGCTTTGGTGGATCTTGGCTGATGTCCCACTGCAGGATTTCAAAAGGCTGAGCTCAGTCCTCCAATCCTCCAGCCTGGCCTAGAAACCTACTTTCTAGCTAGCTAGAAACGCCTAGCTGGAGGAATGGTGTGTCCTTTGTGTCTCTTGGGACCCTGGATCCAGCCCAACTCAGACCCAAACTCCCCAACCTACACCACCTCACCTCTGGGACTGGGGGTCGAGAGTGAGCCAGCAGGTTCAGCCGAGCCCCCAGGCCCTGCTCCAGGAGGGTGGTCAGGGGGCCCAAAGCAGCTGAGACATAGTCCCCACCATTGTCCTGCAGCTCTGGCCAGAGCTTCAGCCGGTGGCACGCTGCCTGCAGGCGACTCAGTGGACGGAGACTGGAGGGGTACAAAGGGCCAAAGAGGGGTAATCAGGTTGCTGGCCCCTAGTACCACCTCCTCCCTGAATGATCTGAGCACCTGTCTGAAGACCTTTGCCCCACCACTGTAGCCCCGAAGAGACAGGACCCGCCAACATACCCTGTCACCCCTAAACTCACTGCAGGACATGGTCAAAAGCCCGGATCATGGGTTTGGGAGTCATCAACAGCAGGTGGAACCCGTCGTCAGCTCTGCTGTCCAGCAACATCATAGACAGCCGTGCCTCATGCTGTACCTGGAGCCACAGAAGGGACCATCCCTGTGCCCTTCATTGATCCAAGGGCTTAGACCAGGAGACATGCCCTAAACTTAACTCTTTGAAGAGGAGTTTCTGGGGTTCTGGTACTTGCAAAAGGGACAGAGTCTGGGCTGAGACATCAGGGGAACACAGATTGGGGGCCCATTGGTACCTGGTGGTAAGTAGAGGCAGTGACATCAGCACAGAGGTTGAGATGGCCTGAGGAATCCAGGAAGACAACGGAGAAGGCCTGGTGGAAGTCAGCCAGGGCCGGCTTGGGGGGTGTAGAGAGAAGCAGGTCAGGATTGGCACCTTACTTGCAGGCCTCCTGGCATAGACCTGGCCCTTCCCCAACTCACCAAAGAGGGATCTGAGCTGAGACATAAACTGATCCCGTTGACTGTCAGGTCTGTAGTGGCTGAAGTGAATCACAAGTGTATTAGAAGGTATCCCCTTCTGGGGACCCAGCCCTAATGACACCCTCCCTCAGCCGATTCAGTTTGCTCATCTGTCTGATGGCAAAACACCAAAAGACTGCTACTGGGATGAGAGGATTCCCAGGAGGAGTGGAGCCCCTGGCCTTTCCCCACCTAGTTGCCTCACCCAGAAACTGCAAGACACTTCTCAGGACCTGGTAGCCACTCATGGTGGTATGGATCTTGCGTGTAGACACAAGGAAGACAACCAGCATGGAGACAAGGAACCCAGTAAACCCACCCTGGCCCTGAAAGAGACAGGGAGAGGCTGAGGTCAGAGCCTGCCCATCACACAGGCGCTCAGGTAGGGAGGCTGCGCCACCCCCAACTCACCTTGTCCAGCTCCCGCTGCCGCAGCCAGACCTTCAGAAGTGCCACGCCATCCTTCAGGCCCTGGGCTGAACTCAGAATGGTTGACAGCAGCTGCAAATGGGACTCGAGAACTGTATCTTGCAGGACCCATGTGTTATAGCGGGGGGTAGGAGGCTCTGGGCTACCTGTGGGATGAAAAGGGAAGCCATGAGAGGAAAAGTCCCCACACCTCTTCCCTCCAGCTCCACCTCAACACCAGGGCCTGCTCACCATCCCCTGCAGGACTCTGCCCTCGGTACCAGGCAGAGCGCACATTGTTCTTGGTTGGCAGCAAGCGGCACGGGCGGAAGAAGTCAGGTGGAGGGCACGGATGCAGACGTACAGTGACCAGGCGCTCATCCTTTCCTGCCAGAGACAGTGAGTGCTGAGACTCTGCAGGAGCCCTTGGAGCCAGAGGGCTCCCCATCCTGTCCCCCCATACTTGAGGCCTCCGTGCCTCTGTGCCTTCTCCTCCAGATTTACCATCCCATGCTATGCCCTCAGCCCAATGTGTGCCTCTCACCACGCGGCCGCAGCAACAGTGAGGGTTTCAGGTGGCAGCCATTTGTGTAGGAGAAGCAAACACTGCCAAAGAGGGGGTCCTGGGCCAGGTGGTGAGCCAAGTGGGCCAGGTAGAGGGCACGCTTGCGGAAGTAGCGCTGGTTCAGCCCGTCCTTGTCCTGTAGGATTTCCTGGAGGGGCCAGGGGAGAAGAGAAGGCCAGGCACATAAGTGCTTGTGGAGCTGTGGGCCAAGGTGAAACCAAGGTGAGAGAGCCAGGGCTCCTCTGCTGACAGAAGTGCCTGAGCCACGGTTAGCAACACTAGGCCCAGTTCTCATATCTGGAGAGCAAAGCTCCAAAAGGACAGCAACTGGCCCGAGGGATCTAAGCTGCCTTCAGGATGCCTGCAATGGTCTGCTCTTCTGATTTAGAATTCTGACTTCAATCCCCTGGCAAGCGGCAGATAAGAAAGAGGGATCCAGGATTTGTAGGTAGTCAGGTGGTGGGCCTCTATCCCCTAAACCCTGGACCTTACCCTGGGCATGGTCAGTGCCACATCCACATTGATGTCTGGTCGGATGCAGGTGCCCAGAAGGTAGCTGCCCACAACAGTAACCTGGGCTGGGGGCAGGAAGCGGAAACAGCCCTTCACGGCATAGGGCACTTGGTGGAGGGGCACTCGAACCCCAGCTGGGAGCCATGCCTGGTCAGTGAGCTGTGGGGGCAGAGACAGGGACACATACTGATTCAACTGCCTTCCTCACATGTACCCTTTATGTCTAGAAGACATTTTAACACATCGATATGTTTGAAACCAAACTCCCAATCTTCCCATAACTATGTCTTCCTTGCTAAGACAACTCCATATGAGTTGCTCAAGCCAAAACCACTTAAATCACCTTAACTTAGCTCTGTTAAGAATACCCATTTTACGAGCCGGGCGTGGTGGCTCACGCCTGTAATCCCAGCACTTTGGGAGGCCGAGGTGGGCGGATCACGAGGTCAGAAGATCGAGACCATCCTGGCTAACACGGTGAAACCCCGTCTCTACAAAAATAATTAGCCGGGCATGGCGGCGTGCGCCTGTAGTCCCAGCTGCTGGGGAGGCTGAGGCAGAAGAATGGCGTGAACCCGGAAGGCGGAGCATGCAGTGAGCCGAGATCGCACCACTGCACTACAGCCTGGGGAACAGAGCAAGACTCTGTCTCAAAAAAAAAAAGAATACCCATTTTACTACCAAAATGTATTCAGAAATGGATCACTTCTCTAAAAAGAAAACTTTTTTAAAACAGAGAGAGGAAAAGATTTAAAAAAAAAAAAAAAAAAGAAAGAAATGGATCACTTCACTACTTTCCTCCCTAGTTTGAGGAGCCACCATTTCTCAGTGCCTAGACTAGTTCCTAACTGGTCTCTCTAATCTCATCATTGTCCCTCTCGATTCTACTTTTGACACAACAGCCGGAGTAAATTTTTCTAAAACTAAACTTTTTAAGGCTGGAAAAGTGAACGTTTTAGGCTGGGCACGGTGGCTCACACCTGTAATCCCAGCACTTTGGAAGGCCAAGGAGAGCAAATTACCTGAGGTCAGGAGTTCAAAACTAACCTGGCCAACATGGTGAAACCCCCTCTCTACTAAAAATACCAAAAAAATTAGCCGGGTGTGATAATCCCAGCTACTCGGGAGGCTGAGGCAGGAGAATAGCTTGAACCCGAGAGGTGGAGGCTGCAGTGAACTGAGATCGCGCCATTGCACTCCAGTGTGGAGGACAAGAGCGAGACTTCGTCTCAAAAACAAAAACAAAAACGTGAACTTTTAAAAGTTAGAGGGCATCACTGTTCTGCAAAATAAAATCCAGCAGTGGCTCCCCATCTCACCCAGAGCAACAGCCAAAGTCCCTACTTCGGGACACAATGCCCTGCATGATATGCTACTTTTCCCCATCACCTTTCTGAACTCATCTCCTTCTGTATTCCTCATTCATTCCAAGGAATGTAACTGGAACATTCCTGCCTTTGTGCCTTTGTACTGGCTGTTCCCCCTTCCTGGAATGCTTTTATTCCCTTAGATATCTATATAGCTGACTCACCTACTTCAAGTCTTTACACAAATGTCACTTCAATAAGGCCTACTTTGTGAACACCCCCTTTAAACTTGTAAACCACTCCCATCCTCTAATACTCCCAATCCCCTTACATTGCTCGTCCTACTTTTTCCTTTTTCCAGTGTTTACCACATTCTAACATTGCCATAGAGTTTACCTGTTATGCTTATCTATTAACTATAACCTCAGCATTACAGCATAGGCTATTATTTACTGATATATCCTAAGAACACAAATACTGCAAGGCATGGAAGTACTTGCTGAATGAATACACAAATGACCACGCTCCCAGCTAAGCTTCCTTGCTGTGAGAATGAGCTCCCTGCACCCCAACCCTTAAACAGAGTAACAGCAAGGCCCCTGTTTGATATACCCCCACTGGAGGTCTCTCTTGGGCTTCCCAGTTCCCCAGGCCACTTGCTTACCTCTGTCTCAGGGACTGAGGGCACCCTCACAACCCGCTGGTTGACCTCCCGTAGGAAGGCATCAATCCGATCCTTCTTCTTCTCTGACAGCCTTACTTCCTTTAGTAGCTCCTCTACCTGTAAGAGAGGGTAGAAGACAGTCCATCAGCCTCAGGGTCCCAGGTACACACCTCGAACAAAAGCTGCAGACACTCAACAGTACCTGTAAACGAAGCAAGCTGGAGTGGAACAAGATCTCAGTCTCCCGAAGGCGATTAAGCTCCTCATTGGTAGGCTCCTTGTACAGTTCTGCCCTGCTGAGCTTCACTGGCTGCAGGAGGCCCTTCGCTGGAGGTTCAGCCAATGTACGCTTCCTGGAGGATGCTTTCTTCCCCTCTTTGCCTGTGCCTTCCAGGGCTGGTTCCATCACCTGTGGCCAGTGAGGGAGAAGCCATTTTGAGGTAATAGGTATCTAGCATCTGCTGCCTAAAGTGCCACCATGATAGGTTGTGGGTAAAAGCTTCACCTGCTCTGTCCCTCTTTTGAGTAGGAGTCAGATTTTGTAAAACTCAGGAGAATCGTTACTTGGATGAACATCACTGAGCGCTGAGCCGAAAATTCCTTGAGTTAAGAGCTCTCCTGTCTACCTGACACCACAAGCATGGAGCTCTGTTTGGAATTGGTAGTGATAGAAGCTGACTGGGCCCAGGCTGGACACGGTGGCTGACGCCTGTAATCCCAGCAGTTTGGGAGGTGGAGCTGGGCGGATCAGCTGAAGTCAGGAGTTCGAAATCAGCCTGGCCAACATGGGGAAACTCCGTCTCTATTAAAAATACAAAAATTAGCCAGGTGTGGTGGCACATGCCTGTAATCTCAGCTACGCGGGAGACTGAGGCAGGAAAATCACTTGAACCCAGGAGGCAGAGGCTGAAGTGAGCCGAGATCGTGCCATTGCATTCTAGCCTGGGCAACAGAGCAAGACTGTCAAAAAAAAAAAAAAAAAAAAGAAGCTGACTGAGCCCTGCCCTAAGTAATGCCCAGGCCCCTTGTATTTTCAGGAAGTTTCCTCTTCTGCTGATATAGGCCTGGGACTTCTCAAATGTCTTTCCCATTCTCGCTCCAACCAAATCCTGCCAGGTTCCACCTCCTCTAGGAAGACCTGACTGCCTCAGTTTACACTAAATACTCACTGATGGAAGGAGCTAGAACCGACTGGACCCCAGAGGACACATTTAGCAAGTCATTAAATCCTCAAAATAATTCTTGAAGACACTTGAAGTCCCACTATTCACTCGAGGTTCCACAACTGGTACACCCGTACTATGAGCAGGCTTCAAAGGCAAGCGTGCAGGATCCCAAACCTTTTCCCCTACAGCCGTGGGCCCATCCGCTCCACGATGCCTCTCATCCCAGAGAGCCTTACTGGAGCGCTCCAGGAGAGGCACCGTATGCCCTCCGCTACAGCGGGGAGCACAGAACTGGACACAAATTCTGTGGAGGAAGATCCCGCTTATCGTCAAGGACCACCAAATAAAAGAAACGACCCAAGTGTGGGTCTCTTCAACTTTGAGGTGCAGAGCTCCAGAAGAGAGCAGAGGCTCTACCGGCTTCACTGCTTCTAACCAAATACTGCCAGGTTCCATCACCCCTAGCAAGCCCTGTCTCAGTGCCACTGGCTGGAAACATCCTCCAGAATGGGCCGCCGGCATGGCTTTCACCCGCAAGCTGTCAGATCACGCCATCTCGGGCCCTGCAGCCAAGGGAGCGCACATTGAGCCTCTGTTCCTCCCCGATGGCTCAACCCACCTCTGGCTCTCCAGTCGCTCCGCGAAGCTGCTCTCCAGCTGGCGCCGGCCCCATCACTCAGGGTCCAGCACTCTCCCGCACTTCAGATTCTAGCCGGGTCTATACCTCATAGCTTCCCACGTGGGCGGAAATGCCTAACTCCAGGCCCAAGTCCAGCCCACCCCAATTCCTCAGGACTCCACCCACTCCAGAGCTATTGGATTATCAGTCGATTACTCGCTTGCCATTGGCCGGGCAGTCTCAAGGCCCGCCCATTAGGGGAGGGGACAAACGGGTTTCTGTGCTTTACGGCCTCTTCGCGACGCTAGAACGGAAGCCTGCCCGTAGCTAGGCCTTTGCTTTCTTTTCCTCACTTCCTTCGCGTGGCTGCAATCGGGAAGGGCGGAGCTAGTTTGTTCCTTTTGGTCAGGTTTGTTTACAGCAGTTATTCCTCCCTTTTTCTTTATTTGCTACACCTTATCAGTTAACAAATCTTGTCAGTTCTACCTCCAAAACATACCTTGAATTTATTCATTTTTCTGTGTCTTCACTGCCAGGTTTAGCCCGTCACATCATCTTGTTCCCGAATTATTGTTATGACTTTTCTCCAGTTTTTACTTATTACTTAGCTTATTACAATTTCAAGTAATTTAGTTATTTTTATTTATTTATTTATTTATTTATTTATTTATTTATTTATTTATTTTTGGAGTAGTCTTGCTCTGTCGCCCAGGCTGGAGTGCAGTGGCACGATCTCAGCTCCCTGCATCCTCCCTCTCCCAGGCTCAAGCGATTCTCGTGCCTCAGCCTCCTGAGGAGCTGGGATTACAGGCAGGTACCATCACACCCGTCTAATTTTTGTATTTTCACTAGAGATGGGGTTTCCTCATGTTGCCTAGGCTGGTCTCAAACTCCTGACTGCCAGTGACCCGCCCACCTTGGCCTCCCGAAATGCTGGGATTACAGGCCTGAGCCACTGCTCCCGGCCTATTTTTAAACTATTAAAAATTTAAAACAAATGTTGCAAGAATAATATAATGAATGCGCATATACTCTTCACCTAGATTCACTTAGTGTTACTATTTTGCCAAGTTTATCTTTACCTATGTATTTACATATTATTTTGCAAAACCATTTGAAAACCAATCACACATCTCCCTAAATACTTAGGTATGTATCTACTAAGATCAAGGACTACCTCTTATGTAAGCACAGCCCGATTATGAAATTAAGGAAATTTAATCGTGATTCAATACTAGTATACAAATTCCATCTTTAAATTTTGTCAGTTATTCCAGTAATAACCGTTATATGTTTCATTTTATTTCCTAATGCAGGATCATCTAAATTCAACTATTACCATATAATATATATATATATATATATATATATATATATATATATATTTTTTTTTTTTTTTTTTTTTTTTTTTTTTGAGAGAGAGTGAGTGTCCCTCTGTTGCCCAGGCTAGAGTGCAGTGGGTCGATCTCAGCTTACTGCAACATCCACCTCCTGGTTCAATTGATTATTGTGGCTCAGCTTCCCAAGTAGCTGGGATTACAGGCATGCGCCAACACACCAGGCCAATTTTTGTATTTTTAGTAGAGACAGAGTTTCACCATGATGGCCAGCCTGATCTCAAACTCTGGCCTCAAGTGATCTGCCCTCCTCAGTCTCCCAAAATGCTGGGATTACAGGGGTGAGCCACCGTGCCCAGTCTAAAAATTTGTATTGAAGTACAATATACATAAGGAAAAATGTACATATCCCAAGTGTAAAGCTTGAATACTAACAAACCAAACATACTCATATAGTCAGCTCCCAGAAAATAAGCAGAACATTTCCTGCACCTTCAGAATCTCCCCTCATGCTGCCCTCTAGTAACTCTGCCCCCAACAATCACTATTCTGACTTCAAACAGTGCAGGTCAGTTTATACAATAGCTTTTTTATTATTTATTATTTATTTATTTATTTATTTTTTGAGACAGAGTCTCACTCTGTCGCCCAGGCCGGAGTGCAGTGGCACGATCTCGGCTCACTGCAAGCTCCACCTCCCGGGTTCAAGTGATTCTCCTGCCTCAGCCTGCCAAGTAGCTGGGACTACAGGCGCCCGCCACCACGCCCGGCTAATTTTTTGTATTTTTTAGTAGAGACGGGGTTTCACCGTGTTAGCCAGGATGGTCTTGATCTCCTGACCTCATGATCCACCCGCCTTGGCCTCTGAAAGTGCTAGGATTACAGGCGTGAGCCACCGCGCCCGGCTATGCGATAGCTTTTTAAGGAAGTTTCAGAAGAGCGGTATGTCCATTTTCAATTCATTTTCCACACAGCTGCCAGAATTAGTTTTCTAAAATAGAAATTCTATCATGTCACTTCCTTTTAAAAACTCATCAGTGTCTTCCAATTGTACTTAAAACTAAACACAAACTTCAACTTCCATAAAGTCATGATCAATATGGCCCTTCACTTGCTATTCCTTCTTTTTATTTTATTTTATTTTTTTTTTTTTGCGACAGAGTCTTGCTCTGTCACCCAGGCTGGAGTGCAGAGGTGCAATCTTAGATCACTGCAACCTCCGCCTCCCAGATTCAAGCGATTCTCTTGCCTCAGCCTCCCTAGTAGAGTAGCTGGGACTACAGGCACATGCCACCACACCCGGCTAATTTTTGTATTTTTAGTAAAGACAAGGTTTCACCATGTTGGCTAGGCTGGTCTCAAACTCCTGACCTCAAGTGATCCGCTCACCTCAGCCTCCAAAAGTGCTGGGATTACAGGGGTGAGCCACCTTGCCCAGCTATTCCATCTTTTTTGTGGGAGAAGAGGGGCAAGTTCTCGCTCTGTTGCCTAGGCTAGAATACAGTGGTGGAATCACACCTCAGCCTCCTGAGTAATTGAGACTACACACGCGCACCACCATGCCTGGCTAATTTCTGTATTTCTGTGTAGACTTTTGCCATGTTGCCCAGGCTGGTTTCAAACTCCTGAGCGCAAGGAATCTGCCGGCCTCGGCCTTCGAAAATGCTGGGATTACAGGCATCGGCCACTGCCTGGCCCTCATCATTTTTCTTGCTACTCCACCCCTGGTTCCCTGAGCTACAGCAACATCAGCTTTCTTTCAGTTCCTTCGTTGTATTAAGTTCTTTCCTAACTCCGGGACTTCACCCAAGCTGTTTGTTCCATTTGGAATTTTGCTTTCTTGGCTTTTTCTCCTTTTCATCTTTCACCTCTCAGCATAAATATCACCTCTGGACTCAAACCATCCTCCCACCCCAGCTTCCTGGCTAGCTGGGACCACAGGCGTGCACCACACACTCGACTAATTTTTTGTAGAGACAGGATTTCACCATGTTGCCCAGGCTGGTCTCAAATTCCTGGACTCAAGTGATCCTCCCACCTTGGCCTCCCGAAGTGCTAGGATTACAGGCTTGAGCCACTGTGCCCGGCCAAGGTCTTAACTAAAGTCCTAAAATATGTTCTCTAAACAAATATAGATATGTTTTCTTTCTTTTTTTTTTTTTTTTTTTGAGATGGAGTCTTTCTCTGTCACGCAGGCTGCAGTGCAGTGGCAAGATCTCAGCTTACTGCAACTTCCACCTCCCAAGTTTAAGTGATTCTCCTGCCTCAGCCTCTGGAGTAGCTGGGATGACAGCCACATACCACCACACCTGGCTAATTTTTGCATTTTTAGTAGAGTAGGCCACCATGTTGGCCAGACTGGTCTTGAACCCCTGTCCTCAAGTGATCTGCCCTCCTCTGCCTCCCAGAGTACTGGGATTACAGGCGTGAGCCACCACGCCCAGGCTGTTATGTTTTCTCTTTCTTTCTCCCTCCCTCCCTCCCACCCTCCTTCCTTTATTTTCTTTTTTCTTTTTTTTTTTTTTTTTTTTTTCTGAGACAGAGTGTTGCCCTGTCGCCCAGGCTGGAGTGCAGTGGCAAGATCTCAGCTTACTGCAACCTCTTCCACCTCCGGGGTTCAAGCAATTCTCATGCCTCAGCCTCCCGAGTAGCTGGGACTACAGGTGCACACCACCTCGCCTGGCTAATTTTTTGTATTTTAGTAGAGACAGGGTTTCACCATGTTCCCCAGGCTGGTCTTGGACTCCGAACTCAGGCAATCAGCCCACCTTAACCTCCCCAAGTGCTAGGATAACAGGCGTGACCGACCACGCCCGGCCTGGCCAATATGTTTTCTAAAACGTTTCTCTTATATCATCCATTTTCCTTTTAGTGCTTTTTACAATTTCTGGTTATCAATTGTCTCTCCTTTTGTTTTACTTTTATTTATAAATTTATTACTATTTTTTTAGAGACAGGATCTCACTGTCACCCAGGCTGCAGTGCAGTTGTAGCTCACTGCAGCTTGGGATACCTGGGCTCAAGTGATCCTCCCAAGTAGCTAGGACTACAGGTATATGCCACCATGCCCAGCTAATTTTTAAATATTTGGTAGTGGTCTTGACCTCAGAATCTCAAACAATCCTCCCTCATCAGCCTCCCAAAGCACTGGGATTATAAGCATGAGCCACTTGCCCAGCCCAGTTGTCTCTTTTTGCCCTTGACTGTGAATACGTGAAAATGAGGACCATGTGTACATGCCCAATACCTAGCACATTGTAGGTACTTAATAAATGTTTACTGAATGATTGTGACCATAGTCAATCCTTTCCGTCTTTCCTTTAACCATTGTCTCCCTCAAATTTTATGCCCCAGTTGCATTGAACTATTTGGGAGTTTTCTTACTCTAATTTGATTTATTTCCTGGGCCTTTGACCTTGCTGCTCTCTTTGCTCAGAATGTTTTGATTGATAAGATTTACTGGAGAAATGGAGCTTGTGCTAAGTGTTGAAGCATGGTTTGAATTTGAATTGACAGAGGGGAAGAAGCAGCATCATTGAAGTCTAAGAAAGACCAAAAAGCTGTGAAATGAATTGACTATTCATTCCATACTTAATGATCAAGCCCCGTGGTCAAGAATGGTCAAGAATTGACGCATTGTAATCTCAGAACTTTGGAAGGCCGAGGTGGGAGTCCAGGAGTTCAAAACCAGCCTGGACAACATAGTGAAACTCCATCTCTATAAAAAAATACAAAAATTAGGCCGGGTGTGGTGGCTCACGCCTGTAATCCCAGCACTTTGGAAGGCTGAGGCGGGTGGATCACCAGGTCAGGAGTTCAAGACCAGCCTGACGAAGATGGTGAAACCTATCTCTACTAAAAATACAAAAATTAGCCAGGCACAGTGGCAGGTGTAATCCCAGCTACTCAGGAGGCTGAGGCAAGACAATCGCTTGAACCCAGGCAGCAGAGGTTGCAGTGAGCTGAGATTGTGCCACTGCACTCTAGGCTGGGCAACAAAGTGAGACTGTCTCAAAAATTATATATATAAAAATTAAGGCCGGGCATGGTGGCTCACACCTGTAATCCCAGCACTTTGGGAGGCCAAGGCGGGTGGATCATCTGAGGTCATGGTTTTGAGACCAGCCTGGCCAACATGGCGAAACTCCGTCTCTACTAAAAAAAATACAAACATTAACCGGGCCTGGTGGCACGCGCCTGTAATCGCAGCTACTCGGGAGGCTGAGGCAGGAGACTTGCTTGAACTTGGGAGGCGGAGGTTGCAGTGAGCTGAGATTGTGCCACTGCACTTCAGCCTCAGCAACAGAGTGAGACTCTGTCTCAAAAAAACAAAAACCAAAAACCAAAAATTAGCTGGGTGTGGGCCAGGCATGGTGGCTCACGCCTGTAATCCCAGCACTTTGGGAGGCCGAGGTGGGTGGATCACGAGGTCAGGAGTTCAAGACCAGCCTGGCCAAGATGGTGAAACCCCATCTCTATTAAAAATACAAAAAATTAGCCGGCGCGGTGGCAGGCACCTGTAGTCCCAGCTACTCAGGACGCTGAGGAAAGAATCATTTGAAACCGGAGGGTGGAGTTTGCAGTGAGCCGAGATCGTGCCACTGCACTCCAGCCTGGGTGACAGAGTGAAACTCCGTCTCAAAAAAAAAAAAAAATTAGCTGGGTGTGGTGGCACATACCTGTAGTCCCAGCTACTCGGGAGGCTGAGGTGGGAGGTGGGATTGCTTGAGCCCGGGAGGTTGAGGCTGCATTGAGCCATGACTGCACCACTGTACTCTAGCCTGGGTGACAGAGCAGACCTGCCTCAAAAATAAATAAATATATAATTAAAATAAAATTGTATCCTGCCCTAACATTTTCAGTATTAGGCACCTTTTTAGTCACTTTCACTGGTACTCACCAAAACTTGTAACAATATTATCTACTAACTACTTGTTTTTATCTGTTTCTGTCTCAGAGACAGAAGGTAAGCTCCACAAGGGCAAGGACCACTTATTTCTGTCTCATTTACTACTGTATCCCTGATATTAGCACAGGGCCTGTCACATAGGAGGCACTCAATAAATTTTTTGAATGAATGAATGAATGAATGAATGGCTCATTCTCAACGGCACTTCACAGGCTGAGAGGAAATAGACACATAAATGCAGTGCAGCATGGGTGGTGCTATGATATGCACAGATTGCCGTGGGCACATTAGAAAGATTACTGTGAGAAAAGGAAAACAGTTCAGAGCAGTCTGAGCTATGTGAGGTATGCAACATTCATCAGGCCCAAGGAGGTGAGGACAGGACTTCAGTTATGCACCCCTCACACACATGTCCAAAGTCATTTTATGTATTTTTGTTTTGTGCTATTTTGTTTATTTGATACAGGGTCTCCCTCTATAGCCCAGGCTGGAATGCACTGGTGCAAACACAGTTACCTGCAAGCCTTGACTTCCTAGGCTCAAGCAATCCTTCTGCCTCAGCCTCCCGAGTAGCTGGGACCACAGGTACATGCCACCACACCCAGCTAATTAAAAAAATAATTTTTTTTGGCCGGGTGCAGTGGCCAAAGTGCAGTCCCAGCACTTTGAGAGGCCAAGGTGGGTGGATCACCTGAGGTCAGGAGTTTGAGACCAGCCTGGCCAACATGGTGAAACCCCATCTCTACTAAAAATACAAAAATTAACTGGTCGTGGTGGCAGGCGCCTGTAATCCCAGCTACTTGGGAGGCTGAGGCAGGAGAAATCGCTTGAACCTGTGAACTGCCAAGAGACGGAGGCTGCAGTGAGCTGAAACCGCGCCACTGCACTCCAGCCAGGGGGACAAGAGCGAGACTCCGTCTCAAAAAAAAAAAAAAAAATTTTTTTTTTAAAAGATGGGGTCTTGCCATCTTGCCCAGGCTGGTCTCAAACTCCTGTGCTCAAATCATCATCCTGCCTCCACCTCCCAAAGTGCGGGGACTTCAGGCATGAGCCACCTCACCTGGCCCAAAGGCTATTGTTAAAGCAGGGGTCTCCATCCCCTGGGCCACAGACCGGTATGGTCGTGGTACAGTCCATGACCTGTTAGGAACCAGCCACACAGTGGGAGGTGAGCGGCAGGGGCATATTACTGCCTGAGCTCTGCCTCCTGTGAGATCAGCAGGGCATTAGATTCTCATAGGAGCACAAATCCTATTGTGAACTGCGCACGTAAAGGATCTATGTTGCACACTCCTTATGAGAATCTAACTAATACCTGATGATCTGAAGTGAAACAGTTTCATCCTATTCCCCCCAACCCTGTAAAAAAATTGTCTTCCACGAAACCTGGTGCCAAAAAGGTTGGGGACCGCTGACTTTTTTTTTTTTTTTTTGAGACAGTCTTGCTCTGTCACCCAGGCTGGAGTGCAGTGGCGGGATCTCTGCTCACTGCAAGCTCCACCTCCTGGGTTCACGCCATTCTTTCCTGCCTCAGCCTCCTGAGTAGATGGGACTACAGGCACCCGCCACCACGCCCAGCTAATTTTTTGTATTTTTAGTAGAGATGGGGTTTCACCGTGTTAGCCAGGATGGTCTCGATCTCCTGACCTCGTGATCCACCCACCTCGGCCTCCCAAAGTGCTGGGATTACAGCGTGAGCCACCGCGCCCAGCGGGGACCGCTGATTTAAAGGCATTTGGCCAGGTATAGTGGTTCATGTCTGTAATCTCCCCACTTTGGGAGGCTAAGGCAGGAGGATGGCTTGAGGTCAGGAGTTAAAGACCAGCCTGGGTAACATAGTGAGACCTTGTCTCTACAAAAAAATAAATAGGCCGGGCACGGTGGCTCATGCCTGTAATCCCAGCACTTTGGGAGGCCAAGGCAGGTGGATCACCTGAGGTCGGGAGTTCAAGACCAGCCTGACCAACATGGAGAAACCCCATCTCTTCTAAAAATTCAAAATTAGCTGGGCGTGGTGGTGCATGCCTGTAATCCCAGCTACTCGGGAGGCTGAGGCAGGAGAATCACTTAAACCCAGGAGGTGGAGGTTGCTCCAGCCTGGGCAAGAAGAGCAAAACTCTGACACACACAAAAAAATAAAATAAAAAATAAAAAATAAATAAATAATTAGCTGGGCTTGGTGTTGCACAAGCCCAGCTAATTATTGGTCCTAGCTACTAGGGGTGCTGAGGTGGGAGGATTGCGAAAGCCCAGGAGGTTGAGGCTTCAGTGAGCCAAGATCGCACCACTACACTTAAGGGAAACAGTGAGACCCTGTCTCAGAAATAAATGAATAAATAAATACAAATAAAAGCATTTTGATCCTGACTAGCTGCCTCACCCATTATCTTCATGTTCCTGGAACTTGTGATACAAAACACAAGGGTATAGGCCAGGCTCAATGGCTCACGCCTGTAATCCTAGCACTTTGGGAGGCCAAGGTGGGTGGATCACTTGAGCTGTGGAGTTCAAGACCACCCTGGCCAACATGGTAAAACCCCATCTCTACTAAAAATACAAAAAAAAAAAAAAAATTAGCTGGGGCTGGGCGTGGTGGCTCACACCTGTAATCCCAGCAATTTGGGAGGCCGAGGCAGGCAGATCACGAGGTCAGGAGATCGAGACCATCCTGGCTAACACGGTGAAACCCTGTCTCTACTAAAAATACAAAAAATTAGCCAGGCGTGGTGGTGGATGCCTGTGGTCCCAGCTACTCGGGAGGCTGAGACAGGAGAATGGCGTGAACCTGGGAGGTGGAGCTTGCAGTGAGCCAAGATCATGCCACTGCACTCCAGCCTGGGCAACAGCGAGACTCTGTCTCAAAAATAAATAAATAAATAAATAAATAAAAATAAAAAAATTAGGCAGGCATGGTGGCATGTGCCTGTAATCCCAGCTACTCGGGAGACTGAGGCAGGAGAATCGCTTGAACCCGGGAGGTGGAGGTTGCAGTGAGCCAAGATTGCACCACTGTACTCTAGCCTGGGCAAGAGAACAAGACTCCCATCTCAAAAAAAAAAAAAAAAAAAAAAGGTAGGTATAGCCAATCTATAGTTTGTTATTTTAATGTAAACTTTTGGTAAACAACTTGGAAACTGCATCTTCTTTTTTACTTTAAATACTCACTTGTTGGCTGGACATGGTGGCTCACACCTGTAATTCCAGCTGTTTGGGAGGTGGAAGCAGGAGCTCAAAGAGTTCAAGACTAGCCTGGGCAACACAGCAAGACCAAATAAATAAATAAAAAGTTCAAAAAAACCCTCAAAACATTTGTCATGTTGGGGGCAGTAGTGTGCGCCTGTAATCCCAGATACTCAGGAGGCTGAGGCGGGAAGAATTTTTTTTTTTTAGAGTCTCACTATGTTGCTCAGACTCAGACTGTTTTTTTGTTTTGTTTTGTTTTGTTTTGTTTTGTTTTTTTGAGACAGAGTCTCACTCTGTCACCCAGGCTGGAGTGCAGTGGCACGACCTTGGCTCACTGCAAACTCCGACTCCCGGGTTCAAGCGATTCTTCTGCCTCAGCCTCCCAAGTAGCTGGGACTACAGGCATGAGCCACCACGCTGGGCTAATTTTTGTATTTTTTTTTTAGTAGAGACAGGGTTTCACCATGTTAGCCAGGCTGGTCTCGAACTTCCGCCCTCAGGTGATCTGCCCACCTCAGCCTCCCAAAGTGCTGAGATTACAGGCGTGAGCCACCGCACCTGGTTGCACTTTTTTTTTTTTTTGAGACGGAGTCTCACTCTGTTGCCAGGCTGGAGTTCAGTGGCGTGATCTTGGCTTATTGCAACCTGTAACTCCACCTCTGACTCTGATTCAAGTGATTCTCCTGCCTCAGCCTCCCGAGTAGCTGGGACTGCAGGCACGCACCACTATGCCCAGATAATTTTTGTATTTTTGGTAGAGACGGGGTTTCATCATGTTGGTCAGGTTGCTCTCGATCTCCTGACTTTGTGATCCTCCTGCCTCAGCTTCCCAAAGTGCTGGGATTACAGGTGTGAGCCACGGCGCCCAGCCTGTGGCACTTCTTAAACTGGTTATCTTTCTTTCAAAAAGAAAAGATATGGAAATCTTGGCAAGATAAACAGGAGGGAACAATATTTGCTTTAGGAAGGTTAATTCTGACCTTATAAACAATGACTTTTACGGGGATCAAACTTTTTTTTTTTTTTTTGAGACAGTCTCATTCTGTTGCCCAGGCTGGAGTGCAGTGTTATGATCTCAGTGCAATGCGACCTCCACCTCCCGAGTTCAAGCCATTCTCCTGCCTCAGTCTCCTGAGTAGCTGGACTACAGGTGCCCGCCATGACGCCCAGCTAATTTTTGTATTTTTGTATTTTTTTTTTTTTTTTTTTGAGACGGAGTCTCGCTCTGTTGCCCAGGCTGGAGTGCAGTGGTACGATCTTGGCTCACCGCAAGCTCCGCCTCCCGGGTTCATGCCATTCTCCTGCCTCAGCCTCCGGAGTAGCTGGGACCACAGGCGCCCACCACCACGCCCAGCTAATTTTTTGTATTTTTTTAGTGGAGACAGGGTTTCACTGTGTTAGCCAGGATGATCTCGATCTCCTGACCTCGTGATCTGCCCGCCTCAGCCTCCCAAAGTGCTGGGATTATAGGCGTGAGCCACCGTGCCCGGCTAATTTTTGTATTTTTAATAGAGACGGGGTTTCAAGTAGGTGAAAAACCTCTACAAGGAAAACTACAAAACGCTGATGAAAGAAGTTGAAGAGGACATAAAGAAATGGAAATCAAATCCATGCTCATGGATCAGAAAATATTAATACTGTTAAAATGACCATACAACCCAAAGCAATCTACAGATTTAATAAAATCTCTATCAAAATACCAATGTCATTTTTCACAGAAGTAGAAAAAATAATCCTAAAATTCATATGGAACAAAAAAAGAGTTCAAATAGCCAAAGCAATCCTAAGCAGAAAGAAAGCTGGAGACATTATACTATCTGACTCCAACATATATTACAAGGCTCTAGTGACCAAAACATCATGGTATTGGTATAAAAACAGGTATAAAATGAAACAGAATAGAAAACTCAGAAATAGATCCATACATTTGCAGCCAATTGATTTTCAACAAAGGTGTCAAGGACATTCACTGGGGAAAGGACATTCTCTTCAATAAATAGTGCTGGGAAAAGTGGATATCCATATGCAAAAGAACGCAACTAACCTCCTACCTTTCACTATATGCAAAAATCAACTCGAGATGGATTAAAGACTTAACCATAAGGCCTGAAACCATAAAACTACTAGAAGAAAACATAGGGGGAAGCACTTCAGGACACTGGTCTAGGAAAAGATTTTATGGCTAAGACTTCAAAACCACAGGCAACAAAAACAAAAGTAGACAAATTGGATTATATTAAACTACAAAGCTTCTGCACAGCAGAGGAAACAACACAGTGAAGAGACAACCTGTTGAATGGGAGAAAATATCTGCAAACTGTTCATCCAACAAGGAATTAACATCCAGAATACACAAGGAACTCAAATACCTCAACAGTAAAACATGATAATAATTCCATTTAAAAGTGGGCAAAGGGTCAGGCATTATGGCTCATGCCTGTAATCCTAGCACTTTGGGAGGCTGATGCAGATGGACTGCTTGAGCCCAGGAGTTTGAGACCAGCCTGGGCAACATAGAAAAACCCCATCTCTACAAAAAAATACAAAAATTAGACTGAGTCTGGTGATTCATGCCTGTAATCCCAGCACTTGGGGAGGCCAAGGCAGTAGGATCGCTTGAGCCCAAGAGTTCAAGACCAGCCTGGGAACATAGTCACTAGTTACAGAGAACAGGAATCTATAAACTCATACCTTATTGTGTGTGTGTATATATATATATATATACATACAGAGTATACACAGGCTCATGCCTGTAATCCCAGCACTTTGGTAGACTGAGGCAGGTACATCACTTGAGTTCAGGAGTTCCAGAACAGCAACATGATGAAACCTGTCTCTACAAAAAAAATTAGGCAGCTGTGGTGGTGGCCGCCTGTGGTCCCAGCTACTGGCTACTCATGAGGCTGATACAGGAGGATCACTTGGGCCTTTCCTGCTTGCTTCACTGAAGGCATCAGGCTGTTTCATGGCTGGGATCAACTCTTCTCAAAGCAGGTCCTAGCAGGACTGGGTGTCCACACCCAGGATATGGGTCCTGCAGAGAGTTTGTAATACCCCGCGATCTTGGGGGAGGAGCAGGGGCTGGTGCCTTGAGGACTTACTGTCCTTCTGACCAGTCCTGATGTTTCCAAGGCACTGGGGTTTTCAGGACTGGATAAGACTGTTCTAAGGCCACAGTGTGGCAACTGCAGCGAGTCACAGGCCAAATCCTCAACTCGGGCACTGTCTAAAGTGCCTTTCTTGACCAGGTGCAGTAGCTCATGCCTGTAATCCCAGCACTTTGGGAGGCTGAGGCGGGTGGATTACTGGAGGTCAGGAGTTCAAGACCAGCCTGGCCAACATAGTAAAATCCTGTCTCTATTAAAAATACAAAAATTAGCCGGGTGTGGTGGCACACGTTTGTAATCCCAGTTACTCGGGAGGTTGATACAGAAGAATCACTTGAACCCGGGAGGCAGAGGTTGCACTGAGCCGAGATCGCACCACTGCCCTCCAGCCTGGGTGACTATATATATGTGTGTGTGTGTGTGTGTGTATATATACACACACACACACACACACACATATACACTCACACAACCAAGTACTATTCAGCCAGGCTGGTCTTGAACTCCTGACCTCAAGTGATTGGCCCACGTTGGCCTCCCAAACTGCTGGGATTACAGGAGTGAGCCACCACACCCGGCCCTCTTTTCTTTATGAATTACCTAGTGTCAGGTATTCCTTTATAGCAAGGCAAGAACTAACACAATCCCGTAGGACAAAATAAATATCCATAAATCCATATGGACATACATAAATAATTCAGTAAATAAGTGTATGAGAAAAGACACTTCTTCCTTACAAAATTCCAATTAATGTAGAAGGAATGAGTAAAATACAAAATCCCCACTTGAACACCACATTAGTAACCGTTGACAAGATCCACCAAGGAATGCGAAAATCAGCAGCCAAAAGTTTGAGAAGAAACAGGATGCTATCATAGTCTCAAAGCATCTCTAAGATGTTTATCATTTGCAAAGGGAGAAAAGAAACTTTACAATAAAGAAACCGGGGAGATGCCACCTTAACCAAATGATCGCAGTAAGTATCACTAATAAGCCACATTGGCATCCTGTACCCGATAGGAAATAACAAGAGCATTTCACCTTGTGTTCTTCTTCCCTCCAACCCATCACCTCAGTCTAATCATGAGGAAAACATGGACAAACCCAAACTGAGGATCATTTTACAAAACAGCTGACCAGTACTCATCAAGAGTCCATGAAAGACTAGGAAATACGGAGCAATTGTCACAGACTGGAGGAAACTGAGGGGACATAGAAACGAATGCAATGTGGGATCTTAGATTATATCCTAGAACATTAAAAAGGCATGGTAGGGGGTGGGGGAGGAGACGGTGAAAATCAAAGGGCTGTAGTTTAATTCATAGTATTGTATCAAAGTTAATTTCCTCATTTTGATTATTGAACTGTAGTTATATAAGTTTTTAACATCGGGGAAGCAAAGTGGTAGATATATGTGAACTCTGTACTATTTCTGCAACTTTTCTGTCAGTCTAAAATTATTTCAGAAATAAAATAAATACGCATGCATGCACAAAATAGTAACTGTGAAGAGGTGATAATAGGTTAATTAGCTTGATTGTGATGATCATTTCACAATGCATGTGTGTATCAACCATCAAATTGTACACCATATATAATTTTATGTCACTAAATCTGTTAAAATATATAAAAATAAATGAATTAATCAAATAAAAAATAAAATAACTTAAAAATAAGAATAAGCTCCATCTGAAGCACTACTTGCATAGTGCACATGAAAAACCACATTCTGCTGCTGCTGGCTGGAGGACTTGAACACCATTCAGAATTTCCCCTAACACTGTGCAGCTCTTATCTAAAACCATAACTACAAAATTGCTGGCAAGGTACTCTCCCTGGTCCTCAATTTTCCACACCTATAAAATGAAAGCATTAGGAAAACAGATATTTTTCTTTCTAGTTTTGATATTCTATGCTTTGTGCTTCATAATTCCTTACTCTTCTTAGCTTGGCCTTCATTGCCAAGTTAGGCTAACAGCTTTGGTGCAGAAGTGATCAGAGATTACAGATGCCAGTTTGGGGCTCAGTATGTCACCACATTAACCAAAGTCAGGCAATGTATGCGGCAGAGGTCACTGGGTTCTTAGTTTTCTTTTCTTTCTTTTTTTTTCTTTTTTTCTTTTTGAGACACAGTCTCACTCTATCACCCAGGCTGGAGTGCAGTGGCACAATCTTGGCTCACTGCAACCTCCGACTCCAGGGTTCAAGCGATTCTCCTGCCTCAGCCTTCCGAGTAGCTAGGATTACAGGCATGCGCCACCACGCCTGGCTAATTTTTGTATTTTTGGTAGAGACACAGTTTCACCATGTTAGCCAGGCTGGTCTTGAACTCCTGACCTCAGGTGACCCGCCTGCCTCAGCCTCCCAAAGTGCTGAGATTACAGGCGTGAGCCACTGTGCCTGGCCAGGTTCTTAAATTTCAATATCTCAGAAAGCTAATTAAAGATCTTAATCTCATTTAAATCTCTTCATTTTACACAATAATAACAGTGAACACATGGTGAAATCTGGCCCATTTAACTCAGAAACTTCATTTTAGGACAATATTTCAAACTCCTTTCCCATCTAGGCATTTTTCAGTGGCCAGACATGTGGCACACCTGACTCCCTTCACCTCCCTCTTAGTGAAGGTTTAAGGATTAGAGATGTACTCAAAGCCAGAACTCAGTGGCCTACATCACCAATGCTTGGATTACTATGAGCTCACCCAGAGTCTAAAAGAACGATTCTCCTTATGCCCATTGTGACCCTGGAGAAATTACTTCTCTCCTCAGTTGTTGTTTCTCACTTAGCATCTCATTTTGAAAATCTTTGTTTCGCTGTGGCCACTATGACATCTGCTCCACTGAGCTTTCTGGCTTTAATTTTTTCCCCTTCAATCAGTTCCAGATAGCCCTACTGAAGTAGTGCCAGAAACTTGCATTGCTATTCCACTCTTTAAACTCTAAGGATTTCTCATCTAAATATTAACCACTACTCCAACATTCCTGCATTTGTGGTCATCTTGTCAGCACATCTCGCTGACCTAAATGAAGAAATTCCTGTTCCTTTTACTCCAGATTATCCATATAATTCTTCCTAAAGCTATTCTTGGGATATACTGAGGAAAGTACTTCAATTTTGGAGTCTGCTGATCTAGGGTTTAAGTGTTGGCTGCACCACTTACTTAGCAAATTTCAGAAAGGTATTAAATTCCTATAAATGAGAATGTCTACTTTATAAGGTGTTTCAAAAATTCAATGATAATGTATGTGATATTCACACCACAGGGTCAGTCTGTCAAGCAGTACCCTGTCACTGGTGGCTAAGAAGATGAAGATAACTACCCATGGGATTCCATGAACAGAGCAGTCATCTCTACTGACCTCAGCCACAAAACACCAGCCTTTCTAGCTTCCCTGGATCCTTTGCTAACTGTGTTTTTTTCTGGGATAGTATGTGGTTCTCTATTTGGCTTGAGAACAGAACACTCCTTCAAATGGTTGAAGTATCTTCATTATATACATGGTCTGCGCTTTATCATACTAATTTTTTTTTCGAGGCAAGTTCTCACTCTGTCGTCCAGGCTGGAGTGCAGTGGCATGATCACAGATCACTGCAGCCTTGAACTCATGGGCTCAAGTGATCCTCCTGCCTCAGCCTCCTGAGTAGCTGGGACTATAGGCGCACACCACCAGGTCTGGCTAATTTATTATTATTATTATTTTTTGTTAGAGATGGGGTCTCACTATGTTGCCCAGGCTGGTCTCAAACTCCTGGGCTCAAGTGATCCTCCCGCCTTGGCCTCTCAATGTGTTGGGATTACAGATGTAAGCCACCTTGCCCAGCCCTAAATTTTTTTTCTTATGCTAAAATACACAAAAATGTACCATCTTAACCATGTTTAATTGTGCAACTCCGTAGTGTGAAGTACATTCACATTGTTATGTAGCCATCGCTACTATCAATCCCCTGAACTTTTAAAAGAATCATCCCAAACAGAAAGTCTATACTAATTAAACACTAACTATTCTTCCCTACCCCCAGCCCCTGGAAACTACTGTCTGTCTGTATGAATTTGCCTATTCTAGGTACCTCACATGAGTGGAATCATATATTTGTCCTTCCGTGACCTGCTTATTTCACTTAGTATAATGTCCTCAAGGTTCATCTATGTTGTAGCATATGTAAGAATTGTACTTCTTTTTAAGGCTGAATCATATTCCATTGTACATATATACCTCATGTTGTTTATCCATTCATCCACAGATGAACATTTGGGTTGCTTCCACATTTTGGCTATTGTGACTTTATCCTGTTTTATATTCTGCAGCAATTTACATCTTTATTTTCAGAACTATTAAGTTTCTTCATATTAACAGTCATAGGAAGAGAGTCGTGAAAGACTTTTATTTGATTTCATCTTTTGGCCATTCTTTTTTTTTTTTTTTTTTTTGGCAGCCACAAAGACTGGGATTTCTAATTCTATGTTATGATAAGTAGACAATTTAAGCCATCTATCTTTTTTTTCTGTTTCCTTTTCAAAAAAAAGAAAATAGTATTTTTCTAAAATATGATCATGTCAATTTGGTCTATTTTTATACGTGTTAAAGAGAGCACTAACAGACAAAAGAATAACAATATAGCAATTAGGTATTTAGTTTTTTTAAAAAAGAAAAAAAGGTAGAGGATGGGGCAATAGATAGCCTGCCTCTTCTCTAACCAAGTTGTGAACTATTTAAGAAATTGACAATAAAGAGTATGGCATATGGAGGCCAGAACATTCCTTTTATTATGAACAAAGTTGATTTGGGAGAATGCAGCTTATCTCTACTTGCAGGCAGGTGGCCATCTTAATTCTATACCCCAGAATTAAACAGGTCTCTCAGCCACTCATAGACATGTCTCCTGGAGGGAAAGAAAAATTATCAACTGACAAACAGTCTGATTAAATGCTTGTCTTTTATACCTGCTATGGTTTCAATGTGCCTCATCTAAAACTAAGTGTTGCTAATGTGATACTATTAAGAGGTGGGGCCTTTAAAAGGTGATTAGGCCACGAGGGCTCCTATCTTGTGAATGGGATTAGGTGCCCTTATAAAAGGGCTTGAAAGAGGGAGTTCATCCCTTTTTGTTCTTCTGCCTTCTGTTATATGAGGACACAGCATTCTTCCCCCACTCCTCAAGGATGCAACAATCAAGGCGCCATCTTGGAAGCAGAGAGACTAGACACTCACCAGATAAATGAACCTGCCAGTGCCTTCATCTTGGACTTCCTAACTTCCAGGACTGTGAGGAAACAAATTCCTGTTCTTTATAAATTACCCAGTCTGTGGTATCCTGTTATAGCAGCTCAAAACAGACTAACGCAATGCCCGCAACCCACTTCTCTGCCTTGGTACCCATCATATTGTGTAGCAATGAATCTTGGCTTGTCTCTTTCCAATAAGCATGTTGCTTTCATCCATTCTTCCACTGACTCAACTGGTTTCATTGAGTGCCTGTTTTGGGCCTAGCAGTACACTAGGTCTTGCATTCAAGACCTCACAGAGGTGGCAGAAACTGACACGACACCTACCCTTAAGGAGAGAAGAATAGAAAATATTGCAAAGGAGACAGAGTGCGGCATTAGACAATAAGAAGGGCAGAGTGACTTAACAAAGTGGGAGAAGGCTTTTCATGGGAAGTCACATTTTTGATGATGCCTCAAGTTCAAGGAGTACTTCACCAGTATATTATACTCTGGTGTCCAGTAGAGGCGTATAGCACGTAGCAGAGCTCAATAAATGCTTAACAAATGAATGAATGAGTGATATATGTGAAAGCACTTTATACGCAAAGTACCACACAGATGTTAACCATTATCCTTTAGTTAATATGGAGAGATCTACTTTTATTCAGCTTCTCTGAAACACCAAAAATATATATGGCAGTGTCTGGAGACATTGTGAGTTGTCACAACTGGAGTTGAGGGGAGATGTGGTAATGAAATCTAGTGAGTAGAGACCACAGTTGCTACGAAACATCCTATAGTATACAGGGCAATCCCCCAAAATGTCAATAATGCCACTATTAAGAAATCTGATTCTAAAATAATTACTGTGTTTACATGTGCATTCACCTGTTTTACAGTGGAGAAACATTTCATTGTGTAAACATAATACAACTAATACTAACATTTTTGCATTCATTCATTCAACAAAGAATTACTAAACACCCAGTATAAGATGGTATAGTCCTCAAGATGGTGGGGATTTTTATTTTATTTGTAGAGAAAGGGGCTTGCTCTGTCTCCCAGGCTGGATTGCAGTGGAAGGATCACAGCTCTCTGCAGTGTTGAACTGGGCTCAAGTGATTCTCCAGTCTCAGCTTCCTGAGTAGCTGGGACTATAGACATGTGCCACCACTCCCAGCTATTTTTTTATTTTTTGTAGAGACGTGGTCTCACTATGTTGCCCATACTGGTCTGAAACTCCTGGCCTCAAACCATTCTCCCACCTCGGCCTCCCAAAGTGCTAGGATTACAGGCATGAGCCACCACACCTGGCTGGATTTTTAAAATATTAAAGACACATCTTCGACCATTTGGAAGTACGTGAGATACTTTAAGAAAGTTACTGAAGTTCTAAATAAATAAATGTGCTAAAAGCTCAGCAGAGACCACACCTGACTGTGAAGAGGAAAGGCTTTATACACTCTGAAGGGCTTTGGAGGGCAAAAGCATTTGCAAGAGGCACAGGGAATGGCCTAACTGGAGCACTGGGGTATGCAAGGACACTACATAGGGGAGTATGGAGAAGATCAATTTGCGTCAAGTTCAGGACTTGACTTGAAAAAAAATCAGAGCAGTGAAAAACACGATAAAAAAGAAGCAGAGTCGGGCGTGGTGGCTCACACCTGTAATCCCAGCACTTTGGGAGGCTGAGGTGGGCAGATCACCTGAGGTCAGGAGTTCGAGACCAGCCTGACCATCATAGAGAAACCCCGTCTCTACTAAAAATACAAAATTACCTGGGCACGGTGGTACATGCCTCTAATCCCAGCTACTCAGGAGGCTGAGACCTGGGAGGTGGAGGTTGCAGTGAGCCAAGATTGCACCACTGCACTCCAGCCTGGGCAACAAGAGCAAAACTCCGTCTCAGAAAAAAAAAGAAAAAGAAAAAGAAGCAGAAGGCAGACTGTTAAGAACTTCTGAATGCTAGACTAAGTTCACTTATTAAAATGAAAAATTAATAGTATCCTAATAGCATCTTTTACTCTCTAATCAAGGCTAGTCCTGAGTCTATCCTCACGCCTAAACACACACTCACATAGCGTTTATACCTACCTTTTGTTTTCTTTATTCAAATAATGCTCTCACCTCTATTTTTAACTGGCTAAAATCAGAATTTTTAACGCAAATATTAAAGTAAGCACCATAACATTATATAAAACAGTTTAAATGAAGAATTGAGTTAGAATGTTATATTCTAACTTTTTTCCATGAAAAGGATCATTACTTTTGCAAACAGAATTAAAAAATCAAAAGGCAGACTTAACAAAAAGAGAAGCCCATTCACCCCTAGGTTCTTTGACTTCTTTTTATCAGATGACTCACTTAAACTAGCAATTCCTAGTAATCTTTATACCATCTGCCTTTAGCAAAAAGACCTTCAAAATTTGCACCTTAAAATACCCTAACAAAGTGCTAACATAGGGAAAGTTGCCAACATTTTTAATCAGACATCACGTGATGGTATGTGTATGTGGGGTATGTGGTTTTGAGTGTTTATTTTTATTTTCTTTAGGAGCAAAGAAATGTAATAAACAACTGTTTTCATAATAAGAAAAATATAAAACCATGTCACCGGGATAAGGGCAGAGTATAGTATCTTCAGTGTAATTTACATGTTTAAACTCTACATACATAAAAACAAATATTTCACAAGAATCTCTAGAATTCCCTAAAGTAAACTATGATTTTTTTTTTTTGAGACAGAGTCTTTGTCACCCAAGCTGGAGTGCAGTGGTGTGATCTTGGCTCACTGCAACCTCTGCCTCCCGGGTTCAAGTGATTCTCCCGCCTCAGCCTCCCGAGCAGTTAGGATTACAAGCGTGAGCCACTGTGCCCAGCTAGTTTTTTATAAAGTAATATACCACCAATAATTTCTCATACACAGTATTAAATGACAGTACTCTGGTTACTTTAAGGTGTCACTGCTGGGATATTTATCAAAAGGAGACAGAAATCCAATAGCTGGCAATGACACAGCAACAGTTACTGAAAAGAACTGTTAATATTATCTGAAAGATTAAAACTGCATCTTGCTCCTTTAATTTTCAACTCGTCTGAAAAATGAGGGCCTGGAAAGTACTGTGTTCACCACCACACTAAACTTGGCCACAGGGCACCCTATATTCACACTTCATGTTCCTGTAACTATGTACACATCATCTATAAAAAGTTCCTTGTTTCACCTGAAAAGCAGCACAGACTAGTATTCACATCTACTGATAGCCATCATAACCTGAGTAAGTGTGCAGTATGCGCAGAGAGGCCTTTATA